>NC_000004.12:84224411-84375926 GCF_000001405.40 Homo sapiens
CATCACGTTTAGCACCACAACTAGCAACCACTGCAAAACCCATTTATAAAAAGGCTATTATTCCGCTTATAATCTGCTTTCATGATTGCTTTTAACTAACTCGAGGAGACGACGCACTAAGGTAGAAAGGTTTGTGATCCATCTGTTGAGTGTATAATTTCCTTTTCATTGGCTAGCACAGTCCAATAAAGAAATATTATTAGGTGCACTAACTCAATCAGCAAACAAATGACAGGCAGATGGCCTTCAAAAACAATACTGCCCATGAATGCCACAGAGCCACAATGTGGGCCCCAGCTTTTAGGCAGCCTTTGTCTGAAAACACTCCACTGGGTTAAGTGATGCAAAATACGACAGAAAGAGAGAGAAGCTGTGTGTAAATGAGGGAGAAGTTAACGGCCTCTGAAGTGCTGCATGAAAGGCTATGATAATTTTATTGGGAACAGAAATAAATAAATAAATAAAAGCACCCTACTTAAATAATACAGCCCTGTGATAGCGCTGAAATCAAGTACATCACGTTTAGGTAATCCTTCTGTTCTAAAGCCTCATTTTGGTCAGATTTTTTTTTTCTCTAAAGGGACTTTATCTGACAGAATTTTCTCAAGGTTTGTTTCAGCTGAGTAATGCAACTTGGTGAGTAGAAGCTTTTGTATGAGAGAATTTCACTGGTTGAATAGGAGAAAAGAAGAAAAGAAGGGAAGAAGGAAGAAGGGAGGGAGAGAAGGAAAGAAGAGAGAGAGGAAAAAAGACAAGAGAGACAAGGGAAGACTTTTAAAAGATTTTGAAAAATTAATGAGGTCAGAGACTGGCATGGGTAAATTTAAAGTCACGAGGATACATATAACCAATACAGGTTGAGCATCCCAAATCCAAAAACCCAAAACGTATAATGCCCCTAAATCCAAAACTTTTTGATCACCAACATGAAACTCAAGGGAAATGCTGATTGGAGGATTTCAAATTTTGGATTTTCAGATTTGGGATGCTCGACCAGTATAATGCAAATATTCCAAACTCTGAAAATATGTGATGCCCAAAACACTTCTGGTCCTAAATATTTTGGATAAGGGATGCTCAGCCTGTATAACCTTTGATGCTTGATAATCGTGAACAGGTAATTAGCTCATATCCTGGACAATCCACCTATCATCCTTAGGGTATGAGCTTTGGTTTGTTTGGTCAATAATGGTAATGGATATAGGTTGAATAATCCACACATCTCCCTGATGAGTGGTGGTGGTATGCATGGCTCCATGATAAATTAGGATCTACCATGGAATCTATGATAAATTCAATCTAAGTCCTTGACCTCAGAAGCAACTTAATTTGATCAGCACAACTATGTAGTTATATACGCCTCTTATAACCTCTAGACTAACATCTATCTCTGGCTTTTAGAAGAAAAAAGAGAAAAAAGCAAATCATACCTGGTTGACATTTTAAAAGTTTTTCTCCTTGTAAAAATAATGCAAGCTTTGGCAAAAAATGAAAAACAAAGAAAAATCGTCGAGGAACAACTCCGTTAATAATGTGCAATGTGTCCTGCCTGTATTTTTTCTTTGCATTTTTGCACATTTGAGAATATATTATTTTGCATTCTTTTTAAAAACTTAATCTTATATCAAAGTTTTTATAAATATTATTTCAAACAGCTTCATAATATTTCATTGTTTGTGTAGAACAGAATCTTCTTAACATTTTTAAGAGAACTATGTTGACCTGTATGTCTTGCTACTTGCTAGCTTTGTAAATTTAGGAAATTAATATTACCTTCTGAGCATCAGTGTTGTGAAGATTGAATTAAATAATCCCTGTAAAGAGTTTAGTACATTGCTTGGTACATAGCAAGAATTCAATAAAAGTTATCAATGATAGTAACTTGTCCGTAAGAATTCTTGTTCCCATTTCTGATAATTGCCTTAGGAAAGATTCTTAGATATGAAGGGCAAAAGATCTAAACACAGTTACGATTCTTAATGAATACTATAAAACTCTTCTATGTATATAATAATAATTTATGTTCCACCGGTAATGGAGAAGTTTCTTACCAAGCCCTTGACTACAATGAGAATCTTTTTTTTCTAACTTCAGCTTATTTAGTAGGTTAAAATATGATATCTCAGGCCAGGCATGGTGGCTAACACCTGTAATCCCAGCACTTTAGGAAGCCAAGGCAGTGGATCGCCTGAGCTCAGGAGTTTGAGACCAGCCTGGGAAACATGGCAAAACCATGTCTCCACAAAAAATACCAAAAAATTAGCTGGGCATGGTTGCTCGCGCCTGTAGTCCCAAATGCTCAAGAGGCTGAGGTGCGAGGATCAATTGAGGCTGAGAGTTCAAGGCTGCAGTGAGCTGTGATCACGCCACTGCACTCCAGCCCAAACGACAGAGTGACACCCTATCTCAATTATTTTTTAAAAATAATAATACATAAATAACATCACACACACACACACACACACACACACACACACACACAACATTTTATTACTTGTTAAATTGGGTTTTTAAAATTTTTTCAAAGAATAGCAAACATTACATCTTCTTTCTTTTTTGTGTGTAAATTGGTGAACTTTTTATTAGTATCTTTTGCTGTCTGAGTCACTTTAATTCCTTATTCAAAATCATCTAGAGCCACATCTATAGTATCTCTTTAGTGCCATCTCACACCCCACATTCCACACTCTACAATGGCTCAAATATCCGTTTCCACCTACTCAGTCAATTTCTCTCTCTCTCTCTCTCTCTCTCTCAATCTGTCCCTGCCCACGCCACACCTCCCTCTCCATTTCTCCATTAGATAGAGCTAAGCTCGCTAAGGCAATGTTGCTCAATCTTGACTAACCTAGAGAATCTTATTAAAATGTAGATTCTGCATTTCTAATAAACACTCTAATAACACTGATGCTGTTAACTTTCAACCTACTCTGTATGAATCACTGCAAGTATCTTGTAGTTGATCCAAGCCATTGAAGCCCATGGAAAGCACCTCCCTTCAAGATTTTCAATTTTTGAAGGAAAAAGCTGCAGATGAGATTTCTCCAAGGGAAAACTAGCTGGTCTCCAATAGTCCTCACAGAGTATAAATGCCCATGGTCCAGGGTCCAATGGTGAGGTAATTTCCCATTCTAGTGACCGATATCAGGATTTTGATCACAAGTTATCAATTAGTTTTGATTTTAAAAGTTCATCAACACCCTAGCATCTAACGCCTTATCTGCCATGATCTATTTGCCACCACAGACCTCTGTGGGTTCTAGTATCTTGCTAGCCACTCTGGCCTTACTGCCTGTTAGGATAAATGACCATGCCTAAGATGATTAAATGTTATCATCTGGCTTCTGCCATTCTGGAATCCTGGAAGCTGGAATTCCAGGAGCTCCATTTCATGGTAGCATCTTTTATTGTCAACAAAGCCTGCAAATAAAGTTACAACTGAGCTTCTCAAAGATGCTATAGGCCCTCTCACCAGTGAATTCCACACTACCTCAGGGAAGGTAATATCCTCCACAGCCTGCCAAGAAACAGAATCAAGCAGTAGGACCTGTTCTTGCAGAATCAACCCTTTCTTACACTGCCACATTTCTTGGGTCTTCTGACCCCTTCCACAACACTCTTCCAAGGCAGTTCCAGTGTCCCCACCTCACCATCATGTCTAAGGGCCAAGGAGCCATTATAGGATCATATTAGAATCAATTCCAGGTGTCCCTGCCAGTACCGTGAACCCCAAGTCATGGATGAGTACTCCAATCTCAACACATTTTTCCTCTTGTCGGCCTTAGATTCTATCCCCTTCTCCCACCACCCTAGTCCAACAAGATATCCATTCCCACAAATGTTGTCATGTTACTGTCCATGAGCATTAGCAAGAATGGGAAGGTCTTTTGGTGTGTAAGCTCTTTCCTCACAGAGTTGGGAGAGTATTTCTCTACTTTGGACTGTACCAAAACCTGACCCTTGTTATCAGTCTGGAGGCAATAAGGGAAGTGAGGGAAATTCCACAGCAGTGCCAAGGACATCTTGCAGGACACTTACCACAGATCAGGTCTTTGCAAGGTCTCCAGGCAAGGGGAAGCTATTATAATCTTGTAAGAGGGGCAGAGGCTAATTCTGCCAGACTGAAGAATTCAGAGGAATCTAAGGGGTTTAAGATTTTCACTGCCTAAATATTCCCTAATGAGAGCTCAAGATCACACTTACTTACTCTTAGGGCCCTGACTTTGTCATATGAAACTTATCAAGGCTGTGCATTCAAGTGTTCTTTGCAGTTCAGTTACCCTTACAATTAGATCCTGGATGTGATTTTCCATGGCAGAAGGAGATAAGGGTCTCTTTAATTATTGCCATAGAAGCTTTTGATATTCATATCATGCCCAGGGTTTCCTCTTTTCGAGGTTTATAAGGGAGTTAATAGATGCCAACCAACTAGATAACTCTTACAGTTACCATAGCCCCATAGCCTCTATACCACTCAAATGCCACAGCCTAAAACAAGCCTGTACCTTATCTCAATCCACTACAGATGAGTATCTTAGTAATTGTAGTGCTACAACATGCTAGGGGTTATATTATCACCACTCACTTAAAATCAGCAATGGAGTTTTTGCTATAGTTTAACAGGTGGAGGATCCAGCTCTGAAATCCCATCCTAAGGGTCTGCTTTCTGGGAACTCTTTTGGTCTCAACTGACATTCTCTGAAAGCAGAGCCTAAAGAATATGATATCAGGGATCAGGTGTATTAGAATGAATGAACAAGGAAGAAAGAAACGTATACACTATAATGCATTATTATACTAGCCAACACTACAGGTTATGGGTTCTTAGTTCCTTGGGACCGCCTGACAATTCTTATAGAATGTGTTTGAAATAGCCCAAATGGAGAAAGAGGGAAGTATGTATCCACCACTTCCCATTCCCTGTTGGTTGAGGGTAGTCCCCTGGGTATTAATACCCTCACACTTCCAGACTGTATAAGCATGGGTGTGCAGCAGATTTCTATGGGCATCAAAGAAATCCTGGGCCATTTCTCTTGCCAGGATAAAACCCACTAGAAATGGAATAACTGTGTGTATGAGCCTGATCTTGTGTTGCTATGAAGAAATACCTGAGACTGGGTAATTTATAAAGAAAAGAGTTTTAATTGACTCACAGTTCCACATGGCTGGGGAGGCCTCAGGAAACTTGCAATCATGGCAGAAGGCAACTCTTCAAAGGGCAGCAGGAAAGAGAATGAGTGCAAGCAGGGGAAATGCCAGATGCTTATAAAACCATCAGATCTCATGAGCCTCAGTCACAATCATGAGAACAGGATGAGGGAAACCACCCCCATGAGCCAATCACTTCCCAGTGTGTCCCTCCCACAACACATGGGGATT
The DNA here is from genome assembly GCF_000001405.40 of Homo sapiens. NCBI lineage: Eukaryota > Metazoa > Chordata > Mammalia > Primates > Hominidae > Homo > Homo sapiens. The sequence continues at coordinate 84,229,791 of NC_000004.12, forward strand.
ATGGGAACTACAATTCAAAATGACATTTCGGTGGGGACACAGTCAAACCACATCATTCCCCCCGGCCCCTCCCAAATATCATGTCCTAACATTTCAAAACACAATCAATCATGCCTTCAAAACAGTCCCCCAAAGTCTTAACTCATTCCAGCATTAACTCAAAAGTCCACGTCCAAAATCTCATCTGAGACAAGGCAAGTCCCTTCTGCATATGAGCCAGTAAAATCAAACACAAGTTAGTTCCTTCCAAGATACAATGGGGTTACAGGCATTGGATAAATACACCCTTTCTGAGGGGCAGAAATTGGTCAAAACAAAGGAGCTATAGGCACCATGCAAGTCTGAAATCCAACAAGGCAGTCATTAAATCTTAAAGCTCCAAAATGATTTCCTTTAACTCCATGTCTCACATCCAGGTCACACTGATGCAAGAGGTGGACTCCCATGGTCTTGGGCAGCTCTGCCCTGTGGCTTTGCAGTGTACATCCCCACTCCAAGCTGCTTTCACAGGCTGGCATTGAGTGCCTGAGGTTTTTTCAGGCACACAATGCAAGCTGTCAGTGGATCTACCCTTCTGGGGTCTAGAGAAAGGTGGCCCTCTTCTCATAGCTCCACCAGGCAGCCCCAGTGGGGACTCTGTGTGGGGTCTCCAATCCCATATTTTCCTTCTGAACTGCCTTAGCAGAGGTCCTCCATGAGGGTTCCACCCCTGCAGAAAGCTTGCCTGGACGTTCAGGCATTTCCATACATCCTCTGAAATCTAGGCAGAGATTCCCAAACCTCAATTCTTGACTTTTGTGCACCCAGAGGCTCAATACCACATGTAAGTCACCAAGACTTTGGGCTTGCACCCTCTGAAGTAATGGCCTGAACTCTACTTTGGCCCCTTTTAGCCTTTGGCCCTTTTTTAGGCTGGAGCTGATGCAGCTGGGATGCACCATGTCCTGAGGCTGCACAGAGCAGGGGGACCCTGGGCCTGGCCCACAAAACCATTTTTCCTTCCTAGGCTTCTGGGCCTGTGGTGGGAGGAGCTGCCGTGAAGGTCTCTGACATGCCCTGAAGACATTTCCCCATGGTCTTGGTGATTAACACTGAGCTCCTTGTTACTTATGCAAATTTCTGCAGCCTGCTTGAATTTCTCCCCAGAAAATGAGGTTTTCATTTCTATTGCATCCTCAAGCTGCAAATGTTCCAAACTTTTATGCTCTGCTTCCCCTTGAAACTTTGCCGCTTAGAAAGTTCTTCTGCCAGATATCCTAAATCATCTCTCTCAACCTCAAAGTTCCAAAGATCTCCAGGGCAGGGGCAAAATGCTGCCAGTCTTTTTCCAAAGCATAGCAAGAACACCTTTATTCCGGTTCCAACAAATTCCTCATCTCCATCTGAGACTACCTCAGCCTGGACTTCATTGTCCATATCACTATCAGCATTTTGCTCAAAGCCATTCAACAAGTCTCTAGAAAGTTCCAAACTTTCCCACATTTTCCTGTCTTCTTCTGAGCCCTTCAAACTGTTCTTACTTCTGCCTGTTACCCAGCTTCAAAGTCGCTTCCACATTTTTGGGTATTCTTACAGCAGCGCTCCACTACCACAGTACCAAATACTGTATTAGTCCATTTTCATGCTGCTACAAAGAACTGCCCAAGACCAGGTATTTTATAAAGGAAAGAGGCTTAATTAACTCACAGTTCTGAATGCCTGGGGAGGCCTCAGGAAACTTACAATCATGGCAGAAGGCACCTCTTCACAGGGCAGGAGGAGAGAGAATGAGTGCAAGCAGAGGAAATGCCAGGTGCTTTTGAAACCATCAGATCTCATAAGCCTCACTCACTATCACGAGAACAGCATGGTGGAAACTGCCCCACATGATCCAGTCACTTCCCACTTGGTCCCTCCCATGACATGTGAGGATTACAGGAACTACAATCAAGATGAGATTTGGGTGTAAACACAGCCAAACCACCTCACTGTGTTATCTTCTTTAGGCAAATAGCGTCTACTTCTGGCATTGGTCAAAATAGGAAGAGCAGATAAAAAGTTAAAAGTACTAGATTTTAGTTTGAATTGCATGCTGATTAGGCAAAATCTGTCTGCAAAGCTTGTGATCCATATTTCTCTAGTCTAGATTTTGTCCTGATAGGAGCATAGCTTTCATAGTTTAAAAGGCTCCATTCTGCCATGATGGTCTTGGCTTTAGCTGGGTAAGCTTCTTTAGTAAATTGTAGGTTATTCTTTGAAAATGTTCAACTGAAAAGGCCTTTGACCAAGGTTTAGAAGGTTGTCTTTTAAAAAGAGAAATACCCTACTTCCTCGAGATATTTATTCCACTAGAAATGCTAACCTAAAGTTAGAGAGCATCCTTCTCCTTCTTTATTTTATTCTTGCTTCCTCCTTAACCTCCTGCTTCCCACTAAATAACTTCTAACACTCTGTACTATGTGTCCTTTTAACATCTTAGGCTGAAATGAGACAGTTGAGCAAAGAGAAAATTTAAGTCATCATTACTCACGTCTAAATATGTATTATTAATATGTGCACATGGAATAATCATCTTTAATTCCAAATTTTTATCGGAACAAATGTGAGGACTATCAGAATTTTCATTAGGAGAAGGAGAAAATAAAAATGGGCCTGGGACACAGATCTGTGAGGTATGGATGTGCAGAGTCCCACATGAGCCTGACGCCTCTGAGCGTTAACACATGGTCCCCCATCAAAGGTCTGTATATGCAACTCAGCTGCTGCCCTGACAGAAGATTTGGTGTTGTTAACACACACTTCATTAAAATACCAGCTAAAATCCAAGTTCCAAATCCCACAGTTTGTGTTAGTTGATAAAACTCAATTGCTTCTAATTACTGTTAGTGCAGCTTTAAAATAATATTTTGTTGTAATAAAGGACTCAATATGACAAGTGAGAATTGGCCCGCTGAACTGGAAACACCAGGCCAGAGGGAATGTGTGCACACACAGCATTCACTGCTCTGCCTGATTGTTCTTCTGAAAATTTTCCAAGCACCTAACAGAGAAAAAAAATGACCAGTCTTCAGAAGGATTTTGAAAGGATGGGGATGACTCAAACATAGATACTGTTTGCCTCTCTGATTGGTCAATGCAGCTTAAGACGTGGAGCACAGAAGTCAAATGAGACAGGCAGAGTTGTGGTTTTTCGATGCTTTCATGGAGCATGGGCCAAAAATAGCCAATGTCCCCTCCTTGCAATGTTTCTATTTACTTCCTCCGTCTGCTTCCTAAAAGATTGTCAAGATTAGCACATTTGATAAGATGAAACATCTTCAAATATTAAAAGTTGTTGGCCTTAGCATTGGAAAGGAAAGGAGAATCTTCTCTCTCACCAATCTCTTCCCCTCACTGCAATCCAGAAACACTGATCTTAAGATTTCTGCAGTAGGCTGAGCTACATTCCACCTCTGGCCTTAATACCTGCTTCTGCCCCAAACCCCTACTCCCTCCACCCCACCCCTCTTAACCTAACTCCTATTCATCCTTCATGTCTCAGCTCAAACTCTAATCCTGAGGGAAGCCTTCCTGACCCTCCATGTTTAAGTTAGTCCCTCATTGTATACACACTGTCATTACATCCTACATGTCTCCTTCAGGGCATTTTGATCAAAACTATGATTATTTGCATAACTATTTGTTTTATATCCTCTCCCAATTAAGCTCAAAAGCATAAGCACCCCTCCATCCTATTTGCAGCCATATACAAAGTACATAGAACAAAGTGACTAACTCCTAAGTAGATAACAAAGATCAAAAAATGGAAGTGACTTTTTAAAAGTATTGAGAAGACTAAGATACTAATATGCAGATCTTGGCTATCAACAATGCGAAATGTTTGGTGAGTGCTGGCTTCAGCAGCACATATACTAAAATTGGAACAATAAAGAGAAGATTAGCATGGCCCCTGCACAAGGATGACACACAAATTCATGAAGTGTTCCATATATAATTGTTTTAAAGAAAAATTATTATAATTAAAATGTTTGGTGAAATAGACCTCACTCAACAAGACAAAAAGGAGAATCTTCTCATCTGTTGGTAAAGACTTCGGAGGAAGTTATCAAATCCTCTTGTAGAAACCCAAGTTTGTAAATTGACAAGCCATTCTCTATTAGGAAAAACTAATAGAGAGCTCCTCTCAATGTTCTATCCCACATGAACAGGTGTCCCAGATTGGTTCATATCAGAAATATCTCTACTTCTGCCCAGAGACATCTCACTGTTTAACTCATGCACAGCCATAAATTCCATCCTAGCTCTAAATTCTCATCTCGTCTCATTTTGAGAAATGTCCCAGGTATAGATCTCCTTCATCCTTCCAGCAATGGAGAATAAAAATGATGAAGGCAAGTAATATTCATTATTACTTATGATATATGATATAATCCAATATCTATTCTTTGAATGTCTATTGTTGTTTTAACTTTCTTAAGCACTTGCTGTATTGAGGAATATATAATTTTTCTAAAATCATCCAAATATTTCCCTATTGAAATATTTGAACGTTCTAGCCGGGTGCCGTGGCTCACGCCTGTAATCCCAGTATTTTAGGAGGCCAAGCTGGGTGGATCACCTAGGTCAGGAGTTTGAGACCAGCCTGGCCAACATGGGGAAACCCTGTCTCTAATAAAAATACAAAAATTAGCCAGGCGAGGTGGTGCATGTTGGCAATCCCAGCTACACAGGAGGCTGAGGCAAGAGAATTGCTTGAATCCAGGAGGTGGAGATTGCAGCAAGCCAATGTCACACCACTGCACTCCAGCCTGGATGACAGAGCAAGACTTTGTCAAAAAAAAAAAAAGAAAAAAAAGAAAAAGAAAGAAATATTTGAACATTCTAAAAAATTATTTCTGTATGTAAAATCAACAGCTTTCATAATCATTGTTAATTATTGTAGCACATTTATACATCAACTAGATAATAGAGTTTTATGATATAAAAGTCTTAAGAAAAATTTTACAGTCAGGTGCGGTGGCTCACGTCTGTAATCCCAGCACCTTGGGAGGCTGAGAAGGGTGAATCATCTGAGGTTAGGAGTTCGAGACCAGCCTTACCAACGTGGAGAAACCCTGTCTCTACTAAAAATACAAAAGTTAGCTGGGCGTGGTGGCACATGCCTGTGATCCCAGCTACTTAGGAGGCTGAGGCAGGAGAATCCCTTGAACCTGGGAGGCGGAGGTTGCGGTGAGCCGAAATCTTGTCATTGCACTCCAGCCTGGGCAACAAGAGCGAAACTCCGTCTCAAAAACAAAAAAAAAAGAAAAAAAAGAAAAATTTTACTTCAAGTTAAGTCTAAAATGCTTACTTATATTTAAAAGTGCATATCCGTAAGCTGTATTAGACAGCTATGCTACATAACTAACCACTTCAAGATTTAGTGGCTTAAAAACTACAACTATTTATTCTTGCTTATATATCTATAGGTCTGCTGAAGGTCAGCTGGTCTAGGCTGATGACTGACTCAAGCTGTAGGATTAACTGGACGCGGCTCCTCACTGCAGGCTGGGCTCAAGTCTACTCTGCAGGTGGGCATTCTGGGCCCAAGGCTGATGGAGCAGCTGCTGCTTACAGGAAGCTCTTCTCATGGCAATAGTAGAGGGGAAAGATGGCAAATCTATTGCACAAGCACATTCCAAGCCTTTGCTATATCACAAACACCTACATCCTATTGTGCAAAGTATTGTGCCAAGCCCAACACTGATAGGAAGGAGAAATAGATTTCATACACATGGGAGGGGAAAGAAGTGAGTGTTTCCTAAATAATAGTTCAAACTGTCGTATAAACTAGCAACGCATCTAAAAGCATACCTCACTTATTTACATAATATTGTTATGCTGACTAGATAGAATGGCAACTTACTTGATCATGTACAAATTCAAGAATAGCAGAAGTGATACTGAAATTGGCAATGAGCTAATTGGCTATTCACAGTCTAAGGCTGAAGTTGAAACCACACAGCAGATGAGAGATGAATTCTTAGGCAAAACTGAAACATCAAGTCACTCAGTAACTAGCTCAAAGCTATATAGCTTTGTAGTGGCATAGCTGGAGTTTAAACCCAGATTTTCTCAACTCGAATTTCATGTTCTTAAGCACTAGGCTATAGTGCTGCACAGTAGGTATTATGTCTCCATTTTGGAAAAGAAGAATTGAAGCATAGAATATTGAAGCATGAAATATTTACTATTTGCCAGCCATTGAGCCAGAGGGTTTGTCTGTATTATTTCATTGTATCCTTAAATCTCATGAGGTAAGAGTAATTTTCTAGAATTTACAGACAATAAAATAATTGTTGAGGAAGCTTTTAAAATGTACTTTTCTGAAGACAAGCAGGTAGAAAACCTGAATCTTGAAACCAGTGCATTTTGTATAAATACAAAACACATGCTTTTCTATTAAACCATATATCCATCCCCAAACACTCAGCAATCAGTCGTGAAAGCTAGTACTCGAACCAATGCATCAGGACCCAGTGATTTCTCTGTTATTGCCCCAGCAACCATATTTCCAAAACCATAAACTGTCTTAATACATGGCTTAACAACTGGTGAAAGCATTTGAATTTAGGATTGTCCAACACATATTAGTTGCTATAAATATATGACATGTCACTTTCTTAATTCAAGCACCATCTGTGACTTTTTTAATATAAAGGGAAGATAAGTGATATAATATTTTTCAAGCATATTGTCTTTTACCGTTAGGGAAAAAATTACATTGTAAAGGGGAAAGAGGTCAACATGTTGATTAAAACCTTCCACTTATATGTTCCGTTGTCCCCACGTATGGAACAATGTTGCCTCCTGTCACTGATTAAAAAATAATAATAATAAAATCATGCTTTTAGGAATTCTTAGTCACTGCCCATAGAATGTAATCAGGATTCTTTTAATTGACACATTAACAATCCCTTTCAGGTTATTGTACTTTGATAGACTTAACAATGCATTCTTCAAGAAAATTGCACTTTTGTAAAGCTTTCAGCAAAGTATTATGAATATACCTTGTACTTCAAAATATAAAACTAAACTCTTCTACAATATTCTATGCCGATTTTATTTGACTCCATGTACAGAGAATCTCAAACCAGAGAGTTGGCTATCCTTTGGATAATGATTCATTGTGAATTATACAACCTGCTGATTAATTGAAATTGGAATGACTGAATCAAAATAAAACCAAAAACAATAGAAAACTCATTTGCTATCTCAACTTAAGGTGATCGCATGAAAAAAGTAATTATAAAGTAGTTTTAATTGTTTTAATACAATGAGCTCACTGTTAGACTGGGTAAAATACAGTCCCTCAAAAATGCATGTTCACTCAGAACCTCAGAATGTGACCTTATTTGGAAATAGGCTTTTGCAGATATAATTAGTTAAGATGAGGTCATACTGGTTTAGGGTGTGCCCTAAGTGCAATGACTGCTGTCTTTCTAACAAGGCCACGTGAAGACAGAGGCAAAAGGCCATGTGAAGACAGAGGCAGAGATTGCGGGGATGCTGCCACAAGCCAGGAAACACCAGGAGCCACCTGAAGCTGGAAAAGGCAAGGAAGGATTCTTCCTGATACGGTTTGGCTATGTTCTCACCCAAATCTCATTTTGAACTGTAGTTCCCATAATCAGTATGTGTTGTGGGAAGGACCAAGTGGGAGGTAATTGAATCATGGGGGCAGTTACCCTCATGCTGGTCTCGTGATGGTCAGTTCTCATGAGATCTGATGGTTTTATAAGAGGCTTTTCCCCTTTTGCTTGGCACTTCTCCTTGCTGCTGCCATGTGAAGAAGGACATGTTTGCTTCCCCTTCCACCAGTATTGTAAGTTTCCTGAGGCCTCCCCAGCCATGCAGAACTGAGAGTCAATTAAAACTCTTTCCTTTAGAAATTACCCAGTCTCGGGTATGTCTTTATTAGCAGCATGAGAACGGACTAATACACTCCCCTAGAGCCTTCAGAGGAAATCAACACTTTTATTTCAGACTCCTTGCCTCTACAATTGTGAGAGAATAAATTTCCATTGTCTTAAGACAACAAGTTTGTGGTAATTTGTTAATGCAGACCTAAGAAGCTAATACGGCCTCAAAGCATAGATTTTATACATTTGGTCATATAAAAATCATTGATCCTGATTCTGTGTCCAAATGGAATTCCACATAACAATGGAGGTCCTGCTACATTGGAAATTCCATGTCCATCTTGTCTACCCATGTATTTCTAGTGCCTAGCACAGCATTGGCACACAGTAGGCACTTGATAAACATTTACTGAATAAGTGAATGAAAAATATATCTTTCTATGCTTCTGAATTTTGAACATAATTTGATTTCTGTGTGTTACTCAAGTTTGGGGCCAGCTTATGAGAATACATTTTGTTTCTGACCAAGTTCACTGGCTTTTATTTAACAAGTGTCAGAGCCAAGTCTTGATGCCTAGTGTCTCTGAAAATAATAATTGGAAAAGAAAGTAATAGTAGCAGTAGCAGTAGTGGCAGCAGAATCTAAGAAGAAAATCCAACCCTTTCATCTGCACGTGTGTGCTGGTCCTTTCACAATCCCTTTATGTAATTTCTGAGTCATCAATAAAGCTGAAATAAACTAACCACAGGATATCTGGAATACAATTTTGACCAGCTGTGCCTATCAGGCCTCTTCTTTAAAAAGTGAGCTTGTGTTGCGTTGTGTAATAAATTGTTACAGAAACCTATCTAGAACTTAAAAGTTATTCTGGCATCTGGCTGAAAGTTACTGTGAGCATTCTAGAAGAATTTCAATAGGAATAGAAAGGACGGGGAAGTGAGTAAAGTCATTTCAGAACCATTCTTGAAGGGTAATACTGGCGTTCCGGAGGGATTTCAGTGCTCAGCTAGAGGGCAGCAGAATTATTGCTGAAGTATTCCTTGTGGAGAGCTTTAACCTCATGGCCGAAATGCATTCAAAACAATTCTGCTGTGATAGTAAAAAATATATATCCATGCTGTGCATTCCCAGAAGAGCATTTTGGCCTGCTTATTCACATGAGCCAAGAACTGAAAAAGAGCTAAGGGGTAAATTGGTAAAGTGCTACCACAGAGATTTCACTCTAAATGCTGGCTGGGGAAGCCTTGTGGTTTCAAAAGGTTAGAAACTTTAGATGTTTTACAGGGTACGTGCCAAAATGAATAATTCATAGAAAAATGCTAAGTCTATTCAGGTAAGATTATATGGTAAAGTAAGAGAAAATGCCAGATTAAAAAAAAACTCTTTTCTATGTGATCCTGCAAAGCCCTCTAAATTAATCCTCCACATGTACCCTGTGCATAGCACTGTGCTGGGTACTAGGGAGATACAGCAATTGTATCTCAGGCTAACTGAGCACATAGGACATCCATATAGTCAACAAGTACTTATTTAACACCTACTGCTAGGTGTTGAATGCATTCTGAAACAACGTGCTTGACCTAAAACTGTGTAATCAAGTAAGAGAGACATCTAGAAAGAATAAACTGCCATCAGTCATGGAAAAATCAGCATTAAAATTTGTACAGGACAGATTGTGCAGGGCAGTTAGTAAGCTTCTCACCTACCTTCCTACTTCCAGTCCTATGCCTTTCCCGCCCACCCTCTCCATGGCTCAGAACTCCTCCCCATGGCCTTGCAATGTCCTGTGTGCTGGGAAGTCTGATGATACAGCCACCCTTATCTCTCTCTCTCACTTTTTTCGTTTTTTCTTTTTTTTTTTGAGACAGAGTCCTGCTCTGTCAACCAGGCTGGAGTTTAGTGGCACGATCTTGGCTCACTGCAACCTCTACCTCCTGGGCTCTTGCCACTCCCTCCCATTGAGCTTCAGCCAGTTCCTTTTGCCTCAGGCTCCTTGGCCTCAAGGCCTTTGCCTAGGAAACCAGCTTAGCCACTTCACGTCTCATCACATGGCAAGTTCCTTCCCATCCTTTAGGTCTCAGCTTCAATGTTACCTTCTTAGAAAGGCCCCATGACCCTATCTATAAAGTATATAATTCATTTTATTCTCTATCTCACCTCCTTTTTATTGTTTTCTTTTTGATGCTTACTCACAATTTCTAAGTATTTGTTTATTTGTTTACTTAGAGACCTTCATACTAGACTGGCAGGTATTATACTATTTCTGTCTTGTTCACCATTATATATCCAGTACTTAGCTCAGTGAGTACATAGTAGTTATTCAATAAAATTAGTATTTTACTAAGCACAGCAGTTGCTTAATAAAATGTGTTGACTGAATGGCTTAAAGTGACCAATGCTGGCACTAGCCCAACTAAATAAAAATAAAATTCAAATCTCAATTATAAATTCTTTTTTTTTCTTAGAGACTGGGTCTCACTCTGTTTCCAAAACTGGAGTAAGGTGGTATGCTCAAGGCTCACTGCAGCCCCAACCTCCTGGGCTCAGATGATCCTCCCATCTCAGCCTCCCAAGTAGCTGGGACTACAGGAGTATACCACCACACCCAGCTAATTTTTGTATTTTTTGTAGAAACAGGGTTTTGCCATGTTGCCCAGGCTGGTCTTGAACTCCTGGACTCAACTATTCCTGCCGCCTTGGCCTCCCAGAGTGTTGGGATTACAGGTGTGAGCCGCTGTGCCCAGCCCTCAATTATAAATTGTTATTCTCCACAAATTCCCACAGTGCTCAAGATAGTGGTTTACAGGGAAGTATGAAAGTCAGGTTCCAGTTAAAATAATGCTGTTTCTGTTTCTATTGAAAATTAGGAACTGATTTATGGTGATTTGATGGGACAGATTAACAGCTCTAGAGGGACTCCTTTCCAGTCTACCTTCCTTCCACCAGCCAATCCCCTTACCTCAGGAGATCAAGTGATGATATGAGTGGGTCAAGTCCAAACATATTAATTGGGATACTTAGTATCATCAAAATAATTTAAATAAATCACTGTTGGGGCAAACACTGTCTTCTTTTCTTAGTGTAATCCTATAATCTGAATGTTAAAAACACAGAGAACTAAGATTTGAGTATGGGGATAAGGGAAAGCAAATCAGGAAGGCTACTCTGCAATCTTGATCCTGGCTTCAGGGCTGCCTATTGCAAGCTAATAGAGTTATGGATTCCATGTGTTATGATCTGGATCATTAGGAGACCTTCTTAGGTTGAAGTTAAAGAGAGAAAGTTTGAGTCGAACTGCAGAAGTTTGAAGAGGGCATGACCTCCCCATACCATCCTTAGGATCTTGATATGGTTTGGTAGTTATTCTATCGTGTAGACTCAGGATCCTGAATCCTGGGAAAATAACATCTTAAACAACCATCTTAACACAATATATTCCCCCCTCCGGAGACTTGTTGGTAGTAAATAGAAAATTTTTGCTGATGGCAACAATCCCATGGAGAATGGCAGATTCTACTGCAATTTCTAGAGAGCTGAATGAACAAGTACAGCACAGATTAGGAGCTTGGATTTTAGAAAATACAACAGAAGATGGTGTGGGGCAATTAACAAGTGGGAGATTACTGCCATGTAGTAATATGGTGCCTGTCTTCACTCCAGGGATCTTCAGTAAAGTTATTAACCTCAAAGAATTCATGAGTGGGTTTGAAAATTGAAAAGTTAGGAGGGGATGAAGTCTATAGTTGCTCCTCCCGGTGCCTCTGTCTCTGGGCGGAGCTATACCACAGGATTTGCACTAATCCTGAGGAAGGGGCCAGACTTGTACAGACTGTGTGATAGCATGAGTCAAGTTTCTAAAAATCAAAGCATTAGAGAAGTCTGTATGACATTTAGTTTAACTATGGGAGTCCCACGTGTGTTCCTTCCTCTAAAGCACTCAGTTGTATTTTGGATTTAATCACTACCTTAAAACTGGGAAAAGTGGGCCTTCTATGAAATTGCCAACCTGTGAAGATAGAGAAAAATATAACACACACTGAGAATCAGGCACTGGGGCCCAGGTATTTCTTAATGCAGCAAGTTATCCAAGTGATGAAGTAGCCAGCACAGAATTGGTTTATAGCCCAGCGCTTGAGAGTCATTGATTCAGGATATTGTACTTTTCTTCATGTTAACATGGGTAATCAAGAGTTAGTTTTCATCACCTGACAGTTGTTAGGAATTATTTTTCCCCAATTATTTTTCTCTGATGTTTATTAAAATGCAGATTTTTGAGCCTCAAAAGGGCTTACTGAATGGGAATCTCTTGAGAATGAAGCCCAGGAATCAAAAGATGACACAAATTTTTCTAAGTTGATTGAAGTTTGAAAACTATAGTTCTTTCCTTTCTATTCCCATAATGTGAGACATTTCTGTGCTCACCCACTATCAATCTTGCTTCCTATGACCAGATGACTAATGTGTTCCAGATCCTTCAGCTTTCCTATCCCTTGCTGTTATCACTACTGTAACTTCTGCCAAACAAAGGATGCATCTTCATCTTCAATGGGGTGGCTCTGGATCGCTGGCCTAAAGTATTGTGTAACGGCCTCTAACTACTCACATTCCTGCACCAAAGCCTGCACTTCTGAGTTTCCGACATTTACCGCCCAGTGATGGAGTTAGAAACTTATGTATGGGATTATATATGATCTAGCAATTCCACTTCGGAGTAGTGGTAGTGAAACTGAGTTTAAACGTCAAAATAATGGAAAGCAAAGATTTAATCAGATATTTGAATACACCCATGTTCATAGGAGCATTATTCACAGTAGCCAAAAGGTGGAAGTAGCCCAACTGTTCATCAATGGACAAGGGATAAATAAAATGTGGTCAACAATGGAATATTATTTAACCTTTAAAAAGGAAGGATATGCTGATACATCCTACAGCATGGATGAACCTTGAAGCCCTTATGAAGACATTATGCTAAGTGAAATACGCCAGTCACAAAAAGACAAAAAAAGTATTATACAATGTATGAGGTATCTGAAATAGACAAATTTATAGAAGTAGAAAGTAGAATGGTGGTTGCCAGGGGCTGAGAGGAAGAAAAAATGGAGAGATGGTGCTTCTTGGGTATGGAGTTTCAGTTTTGCAAGATAAAAAAAAAATCATTGAGATTGTTTGCACAACAATGTGAATATTACTACTGAGTGTACACTTAGGAATGGTTAAAATGGTAAATTTTATATTATGTATGTTTTATCACGATTAATCATGAATAAAAATAATACAAAAAATCAGTTGCCATTTGGCTTAACTTGTTGTCATTGTTAAAAAAAAAAGCCCTCCACACATCAGGCAGCTGTCATTATATGGCACCATTTTACCTGAACATGGCTTCAACTGTCCTCTACAAGTATATAAGTTTCCTGTATCGGATAGAAAATGCCTCACCTGAGATTCCAACAACAATCTTCTCTAGCTCCCATTTCGATCATTTCCTCCCAAAGGTTGAAGGGCAATCTTCATGGGTGATTGTTGGTGTCCTTTTCTAGACAGCCTAGAAGGAAGAAATTAGACTGATCAGCACTTTAAAACATTGAATGTCCTTCAAGGACAGCAACTTATACACAGAGGCCATCACAAGAAAGGTAGGTACATTAATCATCTCCCCAGCTGGAAACGAAGGAGAAGAAATAAATAAACAGCCCATCATCATGATCAGGTATCAAAGGTTCGTTTTAGGTCATACCCCCATTAAAAAGAATTTCAATGCTGTCAGGAGCAATGTCATGAATCTCTTGTACTTCTTTTATGAGTAATTCATGCAGGGAGGAATCACCCTCCCTATGAGCTCCATAATGAGTGCCCCTGTCAATTTCTCTGCCTTTCCACTTTTGGTCATCTCAAAGCAAGGATAGAGAAGTACTATACATTTACCCCTGCATTGAGTGCCTGTGTCTTAAATAAATATTAAGTGAAGTTAGTGCAACTGGTAAAAAAGTCAATAACTTAGAAAATAATATTAGCATTTTGTTCTATGTTTGGGTTTTATCATGTGAGGTTATCATTTTAAAGTTATTACTTAAACGTCTTAAAAATAGCTCACTTTTAAAATATGTATTTGTATAGAAATACTAGAAAATGCTGACAACCAAAAAAGATTAAAAATCTGAAAATACTGGCGGAGCCCGAGCGCCGCCCAACCCGCAGCGGTGGGGCCCCGAGTGCGGCGAAGAGATTGTTTTCTCAAAGCTGCATTGGAGGCTGTGACAGAGCTGAGAGCCTGTGTGGAGCGGACGGTGAGGAATTCTCAATAACATGGCCCTTTGCCATTAGCCTTGCCATGACCACATTTTTCACCAGCGTCCCCCGCTGGATTCAAGATGCAAATCAGGAGGAAGTGGGCTGGAAACTAGTTCCCAGGCCTCGGGGCCGGGAGGCGGAGAGTCAAGTGAAGTGCCAATGTGAAATTTCGGAGAAACCTTTCTCAAATGGAGAGAAGCTGAGGCCTCACAGCCTCCCACAACCAGAGCAGAGACCATATAGCTGCCGTCAGCTGCACTGTGGCGAGTCTTTTGCTTCCAAATACAAGCTGTATAGGCACATGGCCACCCACTCAGCCCAGAAACCCACCAGTGTATGTACTGTGATAAGGTGTTTCACCGCAAGGATCATCTGCGGAACCATCTGCAGACCCATGACCCTAACAAAGAGGCCCTCCGCTGCTCTGAGTGCGGTAAGAATTACAATACGAAGCTGGGCCACCGGCGCCACCTGGCCATGCATGCTGCCAGCAGCGGTGACCTCAGCTGCAAGGTGTGCCTGCAGACCTTTGAGAGTACCCAGGCCCTGCTAGAGCACCTGAAGGGCCACTCACGCCGGGTAGCAGGCAGTGCCAAGGAGAAGAAGCACCCCTGTGACCACTGCGACCGGCGGTTCTATACTCGTAAGGATGTACAGCGGCACCTAGTGGTGCACACAGGCCGTGAGGACTTCCTGTGTCAGTACTGTGCCCCGCGGTTTGGCCGTAAGGACCACCTGATGCGTCATGTCAAGAAGAGCCACTTGCAGGAGCAGCTCAAGATCAAGACAGAGCCCGTGGGGACATGTTAGGCCTACTTAGCTGCAGCTCCACAGTCAGTGTGAAGGAAGAGCTGAGCCCTGTGCTGTGCATGGCCTCTCGGGAAGTAATGGGAACCAAGGCCTTCCCTGGCATGTTGCCCATGGGCATGTATGGTGCCCACATCCCTACCATGCCCAGCACGGGCGTGCAACACTCTCTGATGCACAACACGCTGCCCATGGGTATGAGCTGCCCTCTGGAATCCTCACCTATCTCTTCCCCAGCTCAGCTCCCTCCAAAATACCAGCTTGGATCTACCTCATACTTGCCCGACAAATTGCCCAAAGTGGAGGTGGATAGTTTTCTGGCGGAGCTTCCTGGAAGCCTGTCTCTCTCAGCCGCTGAACCCCAGCCCGCCTCACCTCAGCCGGCGGCAGCTGCGGCCCTCCTAGATGAAGCACTGTTTGCCAAGAGCCCCGCCAACCTCTCTGAGGCCCTCTGCGCTGCTAACGTGGACTTCTCCCACCTACTGGGCTTTCTTCCACTCAACCTGCCCCCGTGTAACCCACCTGGGGCCACGGGAGGCCTGGTCATGGGCTACTCCCAGGCAGAGGCACAGCCCCTGCTCACCACTTTGCAAGCTCAGCCTCAAGATTCCCCAGGAGCGGGGTGACCACTGAACTTTGGGCCTCTGCACTCCTTGCCTCCTGTCTTCACGTCTGGCCTGAGTAGCACCACCCTGCCTCGTTTCCACCAAGCATTCCAGTAGCCCCCACAGAGGTCCTCAGCTCAGTTTTTGGCTCTGTTAGGGAGCCTTAGTACCCACCCCGTCCGTGTCCCCCATGAAGGCTTCTCTGCTCTCCATCACATCACTTCCACTTCTTGTGCCCCTGCCCCCGCCTCCAGTTTTCCCCTAGTATCCAGCAAGGTTTCTTGCAACAAATGATTAGTTCTTCTCTTCTGACTTGTGGGGCTCCCTGCCGCAGAGAGCACAGCCCTTGCCCAGAGCCCAGGAACCCCATCCTTGCTTCATCTTAGATCTTCATGGGCTTCACTCTTCCCACTCATGGAAGGGAGGCAACTCAGGGACCTCCATTGTGGGACCCTTGAGACACCTCCACTCTGATTCAGAAACACACTTCTACCTCTTTACTGTTAACTCTTAACAGATGCAGTCAGCAGTTTCTGGGCACTTCTCTCAGTAGGTGCCTCATACTGACTTCTCCACTAGGGTTTCAGGACAAACTACCAAGGAACTGCCTCAGCCTGGTACCAGTCCTCCCTCACCCACCTTCTGTCTAGGTTCACTTGGTTTGTCATCAGGAACTGAGCAGGTCCAGGACTCAGGCTTCTGCTTCAGCCCAAGCCAGTACTCCTTGTTTGAGGTAAAGGCCTTAACATTTAGTTCCCTAGCCCTCGATTGGAAGCAATTTGGAGTGTGTTTCGATATAGGCAGGGTAGCTTGGGATACCTTTTAAAAAACAAAACCAGATATTAAAATGTCTGGCAAGGTTAGAATCAGACTAGATGGTTTGCTTCTAAAAGTTAGTTTCAGTGAGTCCCAGGGACTAATTAAGGTTTATTTTAAAAAGCGTCTACCTTGATACGCAGCCACCTCCTGCATGCTGTCATGTTATTGGGACTTGTATTATAGGTGATGGTATGTGAGAATCGAGTTGGGACTCGCTGTTGCCATCCTCCTTGTTGTATCTGGTTTTCATCACTAGACCCAGCAACCCTTCTCACCTTAACTGCCACCTTCCCTACACCCTCAGTTTACAGAGGCCATTGGGCCTCTGGCTGCAGAATACAAAGTCCTGGGCTGTTAGAGGAGTCCTTTCCTCTCTGCCTGCCCTTTCCTGTCCCTCCCTCGAATTCTCTCTCCCCATAAGTGATGCTGGGAAAGTCATAGGACTGGCAAAGCAACTGTTTGAACCCTTGTAACTGGGGCCTTGCCCCCACATCCTGTCTTTTCTCCTTGCCTTCCTCACTCCTGTGTCCTCCCATCTATCCTGTCTTTCCTTTCCTCCTCCCTCAGTGTCCTCAGCACCCACAAGGAATTTTCCTATCACTGTGAACTTTGCTGGTACAGAGGAATAATATCTGCCTTCACCTTTTTTTTTGGACCATAGCTAGCCAGTCATTTCTTAAACCTCCCTTCCTAAAATCTGGGGGGCTGGGGGTGGGGGAAGCCTTAGTGGCCTGGTTGTTCAAAGGACAAGAATAGCTTTATCCTACACTCAGTACCCAAACTCACTTCAGTATGCTCACTGAGGCCATGAGAACCTGAGGGGCATCTGCCCAGGACAGGAGCCATGGCATATGACAAAGACCAATGAGGGACCAGGAAAAACAGGGGTGATGTCCCCTTTCCCTGCCATCTCCAGCCTCTGTCAGCAATGAGCTATTCCCCTCCCACCCTACACAGTAGCTGGTCAGGGCTGAATGCAGTCCTGAGGGTAAGGGGATGACATGCCCAGGTGTCAGCTCAAAGGATCTCTGCATCATCTTGAGGTGGGAGGCAGGGAAGGGAGCACCAATGAGGATCCCCCCCGCCCAACCTTTTACAAATGGCATTTTCTTAATTGAAATCCGGGAAGCAGGTGTGATTAGTTTTTTGCTCGTAGATACTGTCCTAAGTTGGAATTCTCCCACTGCCCTAAAACCTTCCCTAGTAGTCCTTTAAATTCCCCCTTCCCTTTTTGGTAGCTGTTTTCTCCGTCCTCTCTCCACCTCCCCTCTTATCTAGGAGCTGTTTGTAAGCAAGATTTTTTAACAGGTTATATTGTACAGGATCAATATTTTGCTTTTTAACAAGGATATTTGTGTAATAAGAAACTTTGCCTTAGGCAGGTGTTGGCCAGAAAAGTCCAGATTCCTCTGGGACCCCACCCTGGCCTCTCCTGAAACTCTGAACCTGCTGTGGAAGGGATTGGCCTTGACCTTCACCTTTGGAGAGTAGGGTCTATGGCGAGGGAAAAGGGTGTTCACCATAAACATCTAGTGCCTCCATGGAGGGGTTTGGAAAAATTCCAGTCCAATTTCTTTGTGTGTCAGCTGACTTCCTTAGCTGATTTTTTGCACTTGCACCTTTCCACCTCTGCATATTTGGCACTAGAACTCCTGAGACACCACTTCTCACGCTTCTCCTTCCCTACCAGCGGTCAAGGCTTTGGAGCCAGTCTCTTGTAACTTCAGATTATTTAAAGAGAAAAATACAAGACAGAAATCTTCTAGCACTTTGTAAACACAGTGAATAACCTCTTAGAGTATTTTTGGCTTCATATAAAACAAGGTTTTTAATTGTAAAGTATAAGTGCCATTAGAAAATGCACAGGGCATATCTCTGTTAAAGTAGGTTTTTCAATGTTTTACAGAATTACATTTTCAAAAAAAGGTTTTTATAATGAAGTTGTTTATTAAAAACTTCTGAATGATGAAAAAAATATGAAAATTAACATTTACTCTCAGCTGCCAAGTGAAAAGAATGATCACTTATTAGCATCTTGTTATATCTTACAATTTTTTTTAATAATAGAGACAAGGTCTTGCTATGTTGCCCAGGCCATTCTCAAACTCCTTGATTCAAGTGATCCTCCTGCCTCAGCCTCTCAAAGTGTTGGGATTACAGGCATGAGCCACTATGGCCAGGCACAAAATTTTTAAAAACTGCATGAGTGCACACACTTACACACACACACACACACACACATGCAAATAGATAAATATGTTTTGAAAATTGATACCCTATTGCCCATTTTGGTAGGCAGAATTCTGAGATGACTCCAAAAATTTTGTGCCGGACACCAGAGGTATCCCAAAATAGGGCATTGGCCTCTAGAAACACCAGGAAAATATGTGGAGGGGTAAACACAAGCCCATACCAAGCCCACTGAAACACCCCCAAGAACACAGCCTAATGATGCAGTGCCAGCAACACCCTCTGTATGTGGGAAGAATAGAAAATTGTACTGATATCTTTAAATGAAGGGATTATAGAAAAGAAAAAAAGAATAAAATAAGACATATTCCCTTCCTATTCCAGAAAGTAGGTTAGGAAAAGAGACATTACCCATTAAAATTAGTCCTTCTTTAAGAAAAAAACAAGTCAGAGACTTATTGTGGAGAAAGTAAAGTTCCCAGCTGTTGGGTTTAGAGATATGTATGTTTGACTTTGAAATTCCTTTAACAGGCTCCATCATTTTTTACTTACATGTTTTTAAAGTGTGGCAGCCCAACTCCCACCCAACCTATTCCCCAAGACTTAACCAGTGGCAAAGAACATTAAAATAAAACCTGAATAAATAAACAAAACCCTGAACCTTTATTTTATGTGAAAACCAAAACAAGGTCAAACTCTTTTCCCTTCTAACAGAATGCCCAAAGAAGAAAATTTTTCTCACACTGTTAAACCCAGTCATCATCAGATTCCCATGGGCAGGAATGCCAAGTTTGTTAGTATGGAAAAGAATTTAGATGACTTTTCTCCTTTCTTGAAAATAGAATGATTTAAAGCCCAAGGAAAAATAGGTTAACTCCTGAAAATTTCTGATTCCTGACAAATTCTGTTCCTAGAAGAGTTTATTTTTACTTCCACTATTATAGTTATTCACAATAAAAAGTTTAGTGTATCTCATTTTTGTTTGCATTCTCTTTAATCATGGAATATACATTCACATTAAGTAATTCATTTTTCTCAATAGAGTTATTCCTAAAAAGGTGGTCTATATATCATCTTAAAAAGAAACATCTAACCATGCTGGAGTAATTAGTATCAAATTTTCTTCCTTTCATAAACAATTAAAGAATTGGGTAAAATATATGCAAGATCTGGTTCTGGTACTAGGTAATAATCAGCACATGACTGTGATCTTGAGAGAAATGACGTAAATCAACTGAGCCCTGCAATTACCCTGGATACCCTTCTGAGGGCACTTCTCAGGCTAAAGTACATGGAAAGGGAAGACAAGTAGACTATCATGGCCTCCCTGAGTGGAAGAGATATTAAAGCTGAGGCAGCTAGAATTCATGGGGCAGAGTACTAGAAAAGAGATAGCTATCTAGAGAAAAAGTTCCAGAAATGTATATAAGGTCCTCTGAAGCCTATTGTTGAACATTAAGCTACACATGTGCAGGTTGAAACGCCATGAAGCTAAGCTGACAATTACTAGAGTGCTATCAGCTAAACAATTCTCACAGCCCATTAAGCCTGAGAGATGATAAAGTTCTAACAAGCCAGAATGGATAGTTCTTACTGACTCTTTGAGGCACTCAGTACACGCCCCAGAAGAGCCATGCCTGGGTAACAGGAGTAAACCAGCTGTAGAGTAAAATCTACTTTATATCTGCCCTATCAAATTTTTCAGCAATTTTCAAAATGATTAAACTGAAAAACAAGTGACTTAACTGCCTACCAGAACTAAGTCAAGCACCCTTTAAAAGAAGACAATGAAAACTAGACACTCAGCAACATGAAATTCATGATTTTCAGCTCCTAGTCAAAAATTACTAGACGTGCCCTCAGAAGCAGGAAAATAGGATCTAAAACCCAGAGCAAAATCAGTCAATAAAAACAGAACCAGACCAGGTGCAATGGCTTACACCTCTAATCCCAGCACTTTGGAAGGCCGAAGCAGGAGGATAGCTTGAGCCCATGAGTTCGAGACAGCCTGGACAATATGGTGAGATCCTGGTCTCTATAAAATTAAAAAACAACAACAAAACAACAACAACAACAAAACAGAACCAGAAGTGGGTGAATTAGAGCCAAAAATTTTTTATCAGATATTGTAAATATGGTTAAAGGAAAACATGAGCATGATGAGGAAAAAGACTACAATATATAAAATAATAAATTATTTTTGTGTATAATAATTCATTTGGTGGAGTTAACAGCAGTTTAGATAATGAAGAAAGAAATGTCAGTGAACTTGTAGACATAGCAATATAAGTTGCCCAAATTGAAGCTCAGAGGAAAAAAAGAGACTGATAACAAAAAGCTAAAAACAGAACTACCATTCAACCCATTACAGGGTGTAGACCCAGAGGAATATAAATCATCCTACCATAAAGACACATGCACACAAATTTCTTTGCAGCTCTATTACACTAGCAAAGACATGGAATTAACCTAAGTGCCCATCAGTGACAGATTGGATAAAGAAAATGTGATACATGTACACCATGGAATACTACACAGCCATAAAAAAGAATGAGATCATGTGTTTTGTGGGAACATGAGTGGAGCTGAAGGCCCTTATCCCTTGCAAACTAATTCAAGAAAAGAAAACCAAATACCACATGTTTTCATTTATATGTGGGAGCTAAATGATGAGAACTCATGGACACAAAGATGGGAACAGACACTGGGACCTGCTTGAGGGAAGAGGGTGGCAGGAAGAAGAGGAGCACAAAAAATAACTATTGAGTACTAGCCTCAGTACCTGGGTGACAAAATAATCTGTATGACAAACCCTCATGACATGAGTTTACCAATATAAGAAACCTGCACATGGGCCATAAACCTAAAATAAAAGTTTTTTTTAAAAAAAAGCTAACAGAATCTTAGCAAATAGCCACACATGGAGCTATAGCCCCAGGAGAGAGGGAAAATGATTGGGGGAGAAACTTTTAAAGAAATAATGGGCAATGTTTTTTTCAAATTAGATGAAAACAACAAACTTAAAAGTTCAATTAATCCTAAGCAAGATAGCACAAAGAAAACCACATGGAAGTATTTCATAAACAAACAATCAAGAAAAAAATCTTAGAGTCACCCTACATACAGGAGGTCACAGAGAAGAGTGATTACAGGTTTCTCAGAAATAGCACAAGCCAGAAGATAATGAAGTAGCATCATTAAAGTTCTGAAAGGAAAAAACAGAACTGTCAAACCTAGAATTTTAGAATTTTATATCCAGCAAAATACTTTGTAAAAGTTAAGGCATAATACTGTCATTTTGAGCAACATAAACAAAATCTGAGATAATTTTAACTACAAAATGTGTACTGCTCTTGAACTACAAAAAAAAAATAAAGGAAGTTTTTTAGGCAGAAGGAAAATAATTCCAGATAAAAACATTTTTTAAAAAACAGAAAAGTGAGAAAGAAGCAATATAGTCTATATGGTGAACAACACAGAATTTGAAATCCTGATGTTGATACTTTGATACTTACAAAACATTAGTTTCCTTATCTGTAAAATGTAGATGTTTATGCCTTCATCATAGCAATGTTGCATAGATTCAATGAAATAAAGATCATTTAGCACAATGATTGGAACATACTAAGCACTCAATGAATCATAGCTATTACTATGTTATTGATAGCTATTAAATGTCCAAATATATTACTGTTAATAACTCTTGGTGAATAATTTGCACAGAATGTTATATATGTAAAAAAGTGATGGGCTGATCACCATTAAGCTTTGTAATTTTTCTTGGAAAAAGGTGGGTAGTTAAATATGTTAGTATTATTGGTGCTTTGCAGGGTGGGAAACTGAGAAGAGATGAGATACCTTGAGACAGGTCACAGAGAAGAGTTCATAGATGAGAAGGAAAGATTTCTCATAAGCAATCCAATGCTATCTTGTTGACTTGTAATGAAAAGTCTTAAAATATCTCTGACTTCAGGTCAATATTGGCCTTTCATTGTACAACTGGAAGAGCTGTAAAATAAAAAATAACTATTTAGAATTTTTCTTGAATCTTAACTTTATTTCACTGGGAGAAAACAAGTTACCTGCCTATGATTCTATAAAATAACCAATGCAATGGATATTCTCTAGTAACATTTAAAACCACCACATATGTGGGAAAACATAGGAAAATGAAATGTCTAGATTTTGAATAAATGTGTGAATGGATCAAATAAACCTATAAATAAAGTGCAATGCAGTGGTGAGCATAGATTCTGGAGCCTGACTGCCTAAATTCAAATTCCTATTCTACGCCTCAGTAGCAGTGTAGTCTTGGGAAGATACTTGACCTTTCTCTTAACTGTAAAGTGGGGAAATAATATTATCTACTTCATAGGATTATTGAAAGATTGAATGAGTTAGCATGTAATATATTTGGCATGTATTTGTTATTATATAAGCAATGATGAGAGAGTTGATTAAAAAGTTATAGGAATTACTTGCTAATAATGACACTGTATTACTTGTTAATAATGACGTTGTATACTTTCTCTTTTCAGAATGTATTTCAGGTTTGAAGTTACTGTCACATTACTTAGAGGTAAAACATCATTACCACTGGTATTACTAGCATTTTATCATGAAATATTGATATAATTTGTGAAGAAAGGAAAACTTTCCAATCTAAAGTTCTTAGGAGGCTCAAGACTGCATCTGGAGAGAAGCAACTACTTATCTACTAACACGACAACCCTTGGTTTGGTTGCAGTAGCAAGCTCCACTCTAATCATTCAGCTGAACAAACAAAACCCAGGATTTTGTTATTTTCCCAGAAACTAGGTAAACAGCCACTTCCCTTTTAGTTCTCTTTTTAAAGTAAGAAGGTCCACATCTCTCCTAATCATCACTTCACTCTATATTCCTATTTTAAAAGTTGATTTTTCTAGATGATTGCTATTTTAAGCCAATAAAAAAGTCACTAACAAATATGCTATTTAAATAATGTATGACTATAAATAATATGCTATTGCAAACATATAAATTTTAAAACCACTAATTAACCCAATGGTCAGTGGTATACTGTTAGGCTTATTTGGCTGTATGGATAGAAACCCACTCATGAAGGATACTGGATTTGGGCCAGGCTTAGAAACCAAGAACGTGCAGAACTCTAAAAACAGGCTATTTTTTATTGTCTCTTTCAAGAGCCACAGAGTTTCTCTGTATTTCATGATATCTCTGCTTATCTGAGCATGTCTGATCCATCTTCTCTTCAAACTACCTGGCTTCTGTCTTCTGATGGTTTCCATTCCATACAACTTTGATTGAATCATCAGCCACTATGGGCTTTACCTTACTAATAGCATCTCTGAATTTACCACTTGGTTTGAATCTTAGCATATTCCCAGTTCGGTTCAAATTAGTGGAGGAAGAGGGAGATTTAAATATCTGATCAGCCCAGTCCCAGTTTACCTGATCAATCCATCAATCATCTGTAGATCACCAAACTACAGACTGGTGGGTCAGATGTCCACCCTAGGTTCATGTGGGAGAGATCACACAGTACAAACCACTATCCCCCACTGCCATTCCATGTATTAGGCATATCTTTCTCAGAAGGGATTGTGGGCAAGCAGGCATCATAAATATATCTAGTAAGTACACTCAAAGAAAATGGGCCACATCCAGGCAACATTCCATAGTGGACACTGTTTACTTGGTCTGCCCACTTTGAGAACCAGGGCTTTAAATGTGAATGTCAGTTGAGTTAGCACAGGTCAGATATTTTGCAGCAGTATTTGATAGGATTACTTTAGCACAAGAAGGAATAAATGCTTCAAAAAGACTTCAGTTTGAAAATACCTAAAATCATACCCTGAAACAAATTATGTAAAATTAATTAAACAGTAAATTTAAATCTAAGTACAGGTGCAAGTTATGGCTGCATATAACATATTCCTATAATCACAAATGGGTACTAGTCTCTTTTAACTAATTTATTCCTGAAACCTGAGTCCTCTTGGCTCTGTGAAACTTTTGTATACTGTCATTTAATTTTTCTTTTGCCTTTATTGTTATTGCATTTTATCTGCTGATACATACTGACATCCCTAGCAGATCTTCTTAGGCTGACTACCTCGATGTGTCTAGGTTAAGCTAATGCAAGTGCCTTCCTAGTCTCTGAGATAATCTTTAAATTTTATCAGTTTTATCCCTGATGTTCTAGGTATTTTGTTCACCATTTACTAATGCAGAGAATCAAGCAAACCATGCAGATATGCCAACTGAAACATGCCATCTTTCCCTGCATTGCTGTATAATACATATGCCTGGATTAGTGGGTTTGTTTTTTAATTCATATGTTTTTTATTGTGCAATAGTTTAAACAGAAAAGTTGCAAGAACTGTGCAAAAGAACCTCCAAATTCCTTCATTCAGATTATCGTATTGTTAACCTCATTCCACAAGCTCTCTCTCGCTTTTTTCCTCTCCCCCTCACCCCTTTACTCTCTACATATGTATGTGTACAGACCTATATATTTATATATATATATTTATTTATTGATATTAATCCACTTTGTCAGTGAACATTTCAAGCATTTTCCCTTTCCCTTGGCTATTACATGATACTACAATGACCGTCATTCTACTTGTCTTTTTTCAAACATGTACAAGAGTTTCTCTAAGGCAGCAGTTCTCAAAATGTCATCCATGGACCTCTGAGGTCCCCAAGAGTTCACAAAGTCAAACTATTTTCATGATAACACAAGGACATTATTTGCCCACAAATGACATTTGTACTGAGGGTACAAAAGCAATGGTAGGTAACACTGCTGGTGCCTTAATCAAGGCAATGGCAGCAAGGGCAATTAATTATCATTGCATTCTTTGCCACCATGCACTTGTAGTTTTCTTTTTTATGCCAGTTTCCCCTTTAAAATGTCCATGAGGAAACTTCAAAACTTAATTTGATTAAATGGCAACCCTTGAGTACACATCTTTTTAACATTCTGTGTGACAAAATGGAAGGGAAGTGTGAAACACTTCTGCTGCATAGGAAGATGGTTCTCTCAAGAAAAAACACTTGTGTGATGGTTTGAGTTGAGAGCTGAACCAGGTGCCTGTTTCATCAACACCATTTTTACTTGAAAGAATGACTAATTCAGACTTTGCTATTTGAACAAACTGCGTTTGTGACTTTGAGGAAAAAAGACTGACAGTATTTGTTATCCATACAAAATTTCTAAGTTTCTCTTGAATACGCAGATATTTAGAATATCTGCATAACCCTTTGAACCAATTCTTTTCAAATGACTAATTATTGATGTTACAAAATTATGCATGGGTTAAAGAACCCCTCAAAATACAAGATAGGCCAATTTATTTTAATGCAGCAGAGTATTAAAATGTTTACTGATATGGTTTCATATTCTACATTGCAACTAAGCCTCAAAAAATTAAAACATGTTGAGTTTTGATGTAGTATCAAATAGAATATCCACAGTTATCTGAAACAGCTATTAAATAATACTTTCTTTTCCAACTGTACATCTGTGTGAAGCTAACTTTCCTTTATGTGCTTTACAGGAAGCACATTGCAGCAGACTGCATGCAGAAGCAGACATCAGAATCCAGCTGTTAAGCCATGCCTCAGAGAGATTTGTAAAATGGTAAAACAATGCCACTCATCCTTTTCTGTCTTCTAGGGAAAATATATTTGTTTTTAAATATCATGTTAACATGTAACAAATGTGTCATTCTTATTCCTAAATGAATTAACAAATAAATCTGTCTTTTTAATTTTCCAACTTTAAATTCTAATATGATAACTATAACTCATGAAACAAGATCTGTTTGGGGTTCTCAATAATTTTTAAGAGTATAAAGAGATACTGAAGACAAATGTTTGTAGATTACTGCTCTAGGCTATAAATACGAAAATAAATTTGGGAAGGTATAGGCTACACATATCTTTAACATGACTAGATAACATCACATTGCTCCCCCATCCAATCTTGAATTACAGGTCTATGTATTCAAGTTGAGAGATGGTAGCTTAATTGAATTATCATAGTGCTTCCTTAACATGAACTAATTAGCTATTACATAGAAATTGTTTAGGCAAATTCTGGATACTATTTAAGAAGCTTTGAAACAATTTGGTCTCACTAAATGCCTTCTATTTTATTATTAAATTAAAGGAAAACTCAACTAGGATAACATTTTTCTCGAATAAATATACAGGTTAAATATAGCCAGAGACATTAAATTTTATTACAATATTTTATTAATAATTAAGTCACACAGGCATCCTAGACAACCAATACATTGAAAATACTATATATTCCTCCTGTGTCATTACAATATATAATTATTCAGGGAGCCTATGCACTGATTAAAAGAGGTGCAATGATTTAAAACATGTGGCCTATTACCATGTAAAATAGGTTTGGGATTAATTCTACAACTGTTTGATATTTAAAATGAGTGTGTAATTCAGTATATTAAAGAGTTTTTATGTATATACAATAGGAAATGATTTAAGATTTCTTAACATTAAAACATAATGCAAGAAGGAGGTAGAGAGAAATTATATTAATTCTCCCAGAGCAAGACATTATAATAAGCTGAATCATACAATTTTTAATTTTAAATTTATGGGTTAAAAGGAATGAAAGCCCTTGGGACAAAATGGAATAAAATAAGATTTTGATCCCAGCAGGGAACTTTTTGGAAACCTCTCCTCCGGGCATCGTATGAAGACCTTATGGAAGAAATGGCCTTTCAATCATATCTCCTGAAGTCATAGAGAATTTTATCATGTCTCACGCATAATGAAATGTTAATGTGATTTTTCTTGACTGATATCATTCAGAGTAATTCATTTTCAACACCAGTTCTCACTCATTATAAGACTGATTTAATGTGGTACTTATAATTAAAGCCTGTTTTTAAAAATAGCAACTGAATCCACAGGAAGTATGAACATTTCTCATTTTAAGGAGTTTTCTTTAGAGAGTAATAGTCACTGGACTCTGCATTCGTTGAACTAACCTTTAGACAGAGATAGAAAAGGGTTAAGTAGACAGTCTTCAACTCATCAGAACTCCTACCCGTAGTTTTCCTATTTCTGACTCCACTTCAGGCTTCTAAATGACATGAAAATATTTTAAGTACACATAATCCTATATGAAAATTATAACCATTAATATATTTGTAGTAGTGAAAGAAGGTATATAGACAGATAGCTTGATCAATCAATCGATCGATCGATCCACCCCAATAAACTGCCTAAAGTGGTGGCAGAGATGTCTTAGCTAGAAATGTTCATCATAAGCTGGGGTTTGAGGCTGTGCCCAGAGATAAGTTATCTGACACTTGAAAAACCAACTGTCTAGAAAGAAGCCCCAGAGTGCAATGTAGACAGATGAAAGAGTCTCTGCACACATAAATGAAAAAGTGACACATATCATCTACTTTCTGCAAGGTAAACCCAACAACTGGAGCTGATAGTTCAGGCTTGAGGCTATGACCTCATAAATCATACACACAACTGAGGGAATAAAAACATTTGAGAAGCCATAGTTTCACAGCCAGAGCTTCACAGCTCACATCCCATGGGATTCTATGAAGACAATCAACTATTGGCAAGTCTGCCTACAAGCCTAGAAAAGCTGTTTAAACTGTCATCTATGGCTCTGGCCATATTGCAACAAGGCTGAGTAAGCCAAGAGCTAGAATACAGGCTGTACAGCTTCCCCCTCCCCTCTCATCTCCTTTTTTGTTCTCTGAGTAAATAGAGGTAGAAGACAGTTGAATAATCGTTTAAGAATGTCATTGCCGTTATTCTAATTTGTATCTTAAAATAATCTGGAGAATATACTGCCATCACGGAAGAAATCATAAAGAACCTGGAATGTTTTATGTAGTACCTTGTTATTCAGAGATCAACTTCAATGTCACCCTTCAGGGGTTTTCCTTGACCACCCACTCTACTCTCTATCGCATCATCTTATTTTTAATAGAGAAGGTATGGGCATTTGATATTCTTCTTGTTTATTTATTAGAGAATAAGAATAGTATAGGTGTTATAAATACAGATCCTGAGATCAGGTTGCTTCAATTGGAATTCTGGCTCTCCAACATAATCACTGGGAGCAAGGCTCTATGCCTTAGTTTCCCCCTCTAACATTTGAATAGTAGTTTTTTCTACATCCCTGGGTTTTGGGGAGGATTGTGCTTGTTAATAAAAGTACTAGATCCTGGACAGGCACAGAGTAAGCACTTGATGAATGTGAGCCTTAACTCTTTATTTGCTTGGTGTCTATTTCCCTAACTAGTCTGTTCTTCACTTGTCTGCCTCAGTGACCCAGTACCTGGAATGATGCCTGGAGCACTCATGAGACTTTCAGTAGGAATGATGAAAAATTAATTAATGAGTCTCAGTTCAGGTTTTGAGATTTAAATCTAACTCAGTAGACAGTAAGAAGGCATGGACAGACAAAATTGAAAACTTAACAGTTCACAGTAAACATTGAGCTTCTGCTATACATGGTAGTCAAGAACTTTGACTGTATAATGCTGACAATGGCTTTCTTTCTTTAGTTGCTAAGAAATTACCCCAGTGGTTTTATGCTCCAAATACTCTACATGACTGATAACCTTATTTCCTGTGCTGATTGAGTCAAATCCATGCCACACCATTTGAGCCACCTCAGAATACATATTGAAACTCTATCTGTCACCTCAGGCCTTCCCCTAAGTGGGCTCTGTGCCACAGAAGAGGCAGCTCCAGCCATCCCTGGAGGGCTGTCCCAGTGGCCTGAGAGCTGCTCCTAGACCCCTACCAAGGTCAGCATTGACCTCAAAGAACCTAGTCACAGACTTGTCCAACCAGCCCCACCCAGCTTTGCCCCCTCCAGTGCCTTGGCAGCACAGTGCAGGATGGGGCCCTTGGGAACTCCATGCCCTGACTATCACCAGGGACACCTCGTACTTCCTCCATCAACAAAGACCAAGTAAAAATTCCACTGCCATTATCACAGGTGTCTCTTGCCTGCAAGCACCACCTACTGGCCTGTAGGATGAACTACACAATCCAATATAATTCCTGCTGACAAAAGTAAGGAAATGAGATAATTTCCCAAGACCTCCACCTCCTCATCTTTGTAGGAGACAGTGAGCCTCACCACACACACAAGGCTACCACAACCTACAAACAACTAACATTTGGGAAAACCACTATGCTAAGGCTATCTATAACTAAGACATTTACACAGAGACTTGGCCCCTTGAAATCACACAGAAGCAAAGCCAAATGAACCTACCCAACATGAGCAATAGTCACACTCTCAAGGAGGAAAGAAGAAACCCACCGAATTAAAATAAATTTTAAAATATTAAATTTATTTTTAAATTTAAGAATTTAAATTTAAATTTAAGAAGAAACCAGCACAAGAATTTCAGCACCATGATGAAACAGATGGTTGAGACACTCCTAAAAGACCACATGAGCTCTCTAGCAATAGCTGCCAACCAAAATGAAAACTTTGAGGTGAGAGATAAAGAATTAAAGTTATGAATTTTAAGGAAGTTCAGTGAGATCCAAAAGAAAGTGGAAAACCAAACAAAGAAACCAGAAAAAAAACTCAGGAGACGACAGAGAGGAAAGATATATATTTTAAAAACCAAACAGAACTTCTGGAAATGAAAAATTCACTAAGGGAATTTTAAAACACAGTTAAAAGCTTTAATAAGAGACTAGACCTAAGCAGAAGAAAGGATTTCAGATCTTGAAGACAGGTCTTTCAAATTAATCCAGTCAGACAAAAACAAAGAAGAAAATAATTTTTTTTGATCAACAAAACCTTCAAGAAATATAGGATTATGTAAAGTAACAAAACCTATAACTTATTGACATTCTTAAGAGGAAGAAGAAAAAATAAGAAGTTTGGGAAACATATATGAGGAAATCAGGAAAATTTCCTCAGTCTTGCTAGAGAAATAGGCATCCAGATACATAAAATTCAGAGAACACTTGGAAGATATTATACAAGATGAACATCATCAAGGCATATAGTCATCAGACTATCCAAGGTCAACATGAAAGAACAGATCTTAAAAGCAGCTAGAGAGAAGCATCAAATTACTTATATAGGAAACCCCATCAGACAAACAGCAGACTTCTCAGCAGAAACCATACAAGCCAACAGAGACCAAGGGCCTGTTTTTAGCCTCCTTAAAGAAAAACAAAAGTACTAGTCCAGAATTTTATATCCTGCCAAACTAAGCTTCATAAATGAAGAAATAAAATCTTTCCCAGACAAGCAAACACTAAGGGAATTTGTCACAACTAAACCAACCCTATAAGAAATGCTCAAAGGAGTTCTAAACACAGAAACCAAAGGACAATAATCACCATCAAGAAAGTGCTTCACCATCCTGTGAAGCAATTACACAATTGAGACTCCAAGGCAAATAGCTAACAATATTATACAGAAACAAAACCTCATATATCAATGTTAACCTTGAACATAAATCACCTAAATGCTCCACTTAAAAGATATAGACTAGACTTTAAAAAACAAAGCTCAATCATCTGTTGCCTACAAAAGAACCACCTAATGGCTAAAGCTGACTCAGACTCAAAGTAAATAAATAAAAAAAAGATATATCACACAAATGGAAAACCAAAGTAAGCAGAAGTAGCCATTCTTATATAAAACAGACTTTAAAGCAATAATAGTTTTTTAAAAATGGCATTAAAGGGCATTATATATTGGCAAAGGGTTTAATATAACAAGAAGATTTCACTAGCCTAAATATATATGCACCCAACACCAGAGCACCCAGATCCATAAAAAAAATACTGTTAGACCAAAGAAAAGAGACTGATATCAATACGATAATAGTGGGGGACACCCCACTGATAACACTAGACAGATCATCAAGGTAGAAAGTCAACAAGGAAAACTGGATGTAAACTGGACTCTAGACCGAATGAACTTAATAGATATTTACAGGACATTCTACCTAATAATTGCAGAGTATACATTTTTCTCATTTGCATATAAAATATTCTCCAAAATCCACCAATATTTGGCTCTAAAGCAAGTCTCAATACATTTAAAAAATTAAAATGATATCAAGTATCTTCTCAGATCACAGTGGAATAAAATTAGAAATCAATACCAAGAGGAACTCTGAAAAGTAAGTAATTACATGGAAACTGATAACCTGCTTCTGAATCACATTTGGGTAAACAATGAAATAAGACAAAAATTTAAGAAATGTTTTGAAGTGAGTGTAAATAGAGAAACAACATATCAAAATCTCTGGGATACCGTAAACACAGTGCTGAAAGTTTATAGCATAAAATGCCTATATCAAAAAAGATGGAAAGATCTCATATTATAACTTCACATCACACCTCAAGGAAATAGAAAACAATAATAAAACCAAACTCAAGTCTAGCAGAAGAAAAGAAAAAGATCAGAGCAGAACTAAATGAGACTGAGACCAAAATAAATCAAAACAAAACAAAAAAGATACAAAAGATCAATTAAAAGAAAAGTTGGCTCTTTGAAAGAGTAAACAAAATTTAATAACTTCTAGCTAATTTAATAAAAAAAAGAGATTCAAATAAACACAATTAGAAATAATAAAGGTGACTTTATTACTGATACCATAGAAATTCAAAAGATAATCAGAGATTACTATGAACATCTCTATATGTACAAACTAGAAAACCTAGAAGAAATGGATAAATTCCTGAAACATACAACCTCTGATATGGTTTGGCTGTGTCCCCCCCCACCCAAATCTCATCTTGGGAGGGATTTGATGGGAGGTCATTGAATCATGGGGGCAAGTCTTTCCCATGCTGTTCTCTTGAAAGTGAATAAGTCTCATGAGATCTGATGGTTTTAAAAAGAGGAGTTCCCCTGCACAAGCTCTCTCTCTTTGCCTGCTGCTAGCCATGAAAGACACGACTTGGTCTTTCTTGCCTTCTACCATGATTGTGAGGCTTCCCCAGCTACGTGGAACTGTAAGTCCAATTAAACCTCTTTCTTTTGTAAATTGCCCAGTCTTGGGTATCCCTTTATCAGCAGCATAAAAACGGACTAATACAACCTCTCAGGATTGAACTAGAAAGAAATAGAAATCTTGAACAGACCAATAATGAGAAACAAAACTGAATCAGTTAAAAAAAATCTTTCAACCCAGGACTAGACAAATACACAGCCAAATTTTACCAGACATACAAAGAGCTGGTACCAATCTAAATGAAACTATTACAAAAGATTGAGGAGGAGGGATTTCTCCCTAACTCATTGTATGAAACCAGTATTACCCTGATATGAAAATCAGGCAGGGACAGAACAACAACAAAAAATGAAAACTGCAGGCCAATATTCCTAATGAATATAGATGTGAAACTCCTGAACAAAATACTAGCAAACTAATCCAATTGCACATCAAAAAGACAGTCCATCTTGATAAGTAGGTTTGCAGGAATGCAAGGATAAGTCAACATTTGCAAAAAATGGAATTGATCACTGTTTTAGTCAGTTATCATGCTGCTAATACAGACATATCTGAAACTGGGTGCAATATAAAGCAAAGAGGCTTAATTGACTCACAGTTCAGCATGGCTGGAGAGGCCACAGGAAATTTACAATCATGGTGGAAGGGGAAGCAAACACTTTTTTCTTCAAATGGCGGCAGAAAAAACAAGTGCAGAGCAAATGGGGGGAAAGCCCTTTATAAAACCATCAGATCTCATGAGAACCCACTCACTATCATGAGAACAGCATAGTGGTAACTGCCACCATGATTCAATTACCTCCTACTGGATCCCTCCCATGGCACGTGGGGATTGCCAGAACTACAATTCAAGATGAGATTTGGGTGGGGACACAGCCAAACCATATCAATCACATTAACAGAATTAAAAACAAAAACCACAAGCTTATCACAATAGATACAGAAAAAACACTCGATAAAATCTGACTTTTCTTCATGATAAAAACCCTCAACAAACTAGATATTGAAAGAACATACCTCAAGATAATAAAAGCCATATATGACAAACCCACAGCCAATATTACACTGAATAGGAAGGAGTTGAAAGCATTCCCTCTAAGAACTGGAACAACATAAGGATTTTACTCTCACCACTCCTATTCAACATAGTACTAGAAGTCCTAGCCAGAGTAATCATGCATGAGAAAGACATAAAAGGCATCCAAATTAGAAAAGAGGAAGTAAAATTAGCTCTGTTCACTGATGACTTAAAGCCCTAAATACTCCTCCAAAAGACTTCTAGACTTGATAAATGACTTCAACAAAATTTCAAGACACAAAATTAATGTACAAAAGTCAGTAGCATATCTATACACCAATAATGCCCAAGCTGAGAACCAAATCAAAAACTCAATTTTATTTACAATAGCTACAAAAAGAAAAAATTACCTAGGAATACAGTTAACCAAAGAAGTAAAAGACCTCTACAAGGAGAACTACAAAACACTGACAAAAATTCATAGATAACAGAAACAAATTTTCTTTAAATCCCATGCTTATGGATAAGAAGTGTCCATATTGTTAAAATGACCATACTACCCAAATCAATCTATAGATTCAATGCAAGTCCTATCAAATTACCAACATCATTCTTCAAAAAATTAGAGAAAACAATTCTAAATTTCGTATGAAACAAAAAAGAGCCCAAATAGCCAAAGCAATCCCAAGCAAAAAGAACAAATCCAGAGGCATCACATTATCTGACTTCAAATTATATTACAAGCCTCTAGTAACTAAGACAACATGGTACTAGTTCAAAAATAGACACATAGATCAATGGAACAGAATAGAGAATCCAAAAATAAAGCCACATACTTACAACCAACTGATGATCTTTGACAAATTTGACAAAAATAAACAATGGGAAAAGGACACCCTATTTAATAAATGGTTCTGAGAAAATTGGCTAGCCAGATGAAGAAAAATGAAACCTGATTCCTGTCTCTCACCATATGCAAAAATTAGTTCAAAATAGATTAAAGACTTCAGTGTAAGACCTGAAACTCTAAACATCATAGAAGAAAACCTAGAAAAAAAGAACTCTTCTGGACATAGGTCTTAGCAAATAATTTATGACTAACACCTCAAAAGTAAATGCAATACAAACATCAAAAATAGACAAATGAGACTTAATTAAACAAGCTACTGCATAGCAAAAGAAACAATCAATAGAGTAAACAGACAACCTACAGAATGGGAGAAAATGTTTGCAAATTATACCTCTGACAAAGGACTAATATCCAGATTCTACCATGAACTCAAACAACTCAACAAGAAAAAGAAACAATCCCATTAAAAAGTGGGTAAAGGACATGAACAGACATTTCTCAAAAGAACACATACAAGTGACCAACAAACAAAAAAAGTCTCAATATCACTAATCATCAGAGTTATGCAAAGTAAAACCACAAGGAGATATTATCTTACACCAGTTAGAATGGCTATTACTAAAAAGTCAAAAACCAACACATGCTGGCATGGATGTGGTAAAAAGAGAACCCTTATATACTGTTGGTGAAAATGTAAAGTAGTACAACCTCTATGGAAAACAGTAAGGAGATTTCTCAAAGAACTAAAAATGGAACTATTATTCAACCCAGCAATCCCACTACTAGGCATGTACCCAAAGGAAAAGAAATCATTATATAAAAAAGACACCTGCACTTGTGTGTTGATTGCAACACTAGTCACAATAGCAAAGTCATGGAATCAACCTAAGTTTCCATCAAGGGTTGATTCAACAAAGGGAATGTTGTATATACACATCGTGAAATCACTATGCAGCCAAAAAACAAAAACAACAAAAAAAATGAAATCATGTCCTTTGCAGCAACATGGATGGAGCTGGAGTCCATTATAAGTGATATAACTCAGAAACAGAAAATCAAATACCAAATATTCTCTCCCATTATAAGTGAGAGCTAAATAATGGGTACATATGGACATAAAAATGGAAAAAATTATACTGGGCACCCCAAAATGGGGGAGGATGGGAGAGCAGTGGGGGTTTAAAAAATTACCTATTGGGTAAAATGTTCACTATTTGAGTGATGGGTATACTAGAAGCCCAAACCTCAACATTATGTGACATATCCATGTAACCTGCACATGGACCCCCCGAATATAAATTTTTTAAGTCTTTCTGTCTTCTTTCTCCTCTACAGTTTCTCTTGAAATTACATTTTTGTGCTTTGTGATTATTTATTTTTACTATTATCTTTCTTTTAAAAATCATTTATAATTATCAGGCTTACACTAAAATGTCCCAGGACTATTAAAAGTTGTGTAGCCAAGAACAGAAAACCAAACACTGCATGTTCTCACTCATAAGTGGGAGTTGAACAATGAGAACACATGGACACAGGGAGGGGAACATCACACACCAGGGCCTGTTGTGGGGTGGGGGACTAGGGGAGGGATAGCATTAGGAGAAATACCTAATGTAGATGACAGGTTGACGGGTGCAGCAAACCACATGGCACAAGTATACCTATGTAAGAAACCTGCATGTTCTGCACGTGTATCCCAGAACTTAAAGTATAATAAAAATAAAAAATAAAAGATGTGTAGCCTGTGTTTTACCCAGACAAGCTCTCAATAAAACCATGAGCTGCTTTCAAATCCAAGTTGTCCTTTTCTCAGTCAGTTGGAAGAGGTAGGTTATTAATAATTCTAAATTAAATCACGAGCTCAGATGCAGTGAAAACTGGTGTTGAAAATAGATACATTTTCTCAAACAACGGGACTCAAGATAATCACCTTAACATATCTTCTCCATGTTCAAGTGGCTCTATGAAATGTTTTATTCACCAGTAGACTTGATTGAAGATCCATCTCCTCATTTATATCAGAGATTATTGTGGGAAGGAGATTTGTTGCATAGGTGTGTTTGAGAGGTCCTCAGAAGGCACAAAAATGTGGAACAGTCATAAATCCAAGGAAACTGTAGATGTCTCCATTGATAGAGGAAAAAATGCCAGATGGTTGTGGGGAACAACACAGGCCACAGAGATCTTTGAAAGAGAATGGAACCAGGATGGGAGAAGCTTGGGTCTTGTTAGGAAAATAAAAAGTCAAGTAGGAAATAATTGCATCAGTGGAACTTCATAACTTTAAATGAACTTACAATGTTATTATCACTCCATAAGGACCAGCAAACTCTCCTCACAGCTGCTATCAATATCTCCTACACTCTGATCTTAATCATGTTTTTCTGGATCATTCCTTAATTGACTCCTGATTTGTTTACTAGACATTTATTGAAAGCTTACCATGTGCCAGGAACCATCCTAAGCTCTTGAGATACAATCATGAGCACAATTAAACACAATCCTACCCAAAGAGAGCTCAGAGTTTGTTAGGAGACAAAGGCTACATAGCTCAAACAACCAGTCAATCACATGGTAAAAACCAAAGCTGTGAAATGTGACATGACTGAAAAGGAAATGGTATTCTGAGAGCATACAACAGGGTTTTGGCAGATCAGGGAAGGCTTCCCAGGAGCAATAAGCCTTGAACTTAAAAATGAAGGAAGAATGGATGTTAAGTGGGTGAAAATGGGGGCAGGGAGCAGGTGGCCTTATGTGCTAAAGGAACAGGATGTGCAAATGCTCTGTGGCAGGGGAGATTGCATGGAGTACAAGGAACTAAAAGAAGGCCAAGTTCACTAAAGTCAAGAGAGGAACAGGGAATGATGTGTGAGATCTGTAGGGACCAGACTGTTCAGGGCCCTGTGAGTCTTGTTAAGGAATTTTTACTTTATTCTGAGAGTAATGGGAAGAATTTGAGGGGTGATATTGTATTATACCTCCACTATATGATTTTACCAGTATTCCAGCTGCCACCCCACGCACTTAATGCAATGTAAAATTGAACTAAATTTGGGAAACATAGTAGAAAAGCAACCAGGGAGATCTGAACAAATTGCAATTGGAGATCCACAATTGAGATTCCTGTAGGCAATGAGAAAGCATGGGAATGAACCTGAAACCCAAGGCAAAACTGTGGGTCAAAACAACCTGGATGTTATCCCTGAATAAAATTCATAGTGTTCCCATAAATTGCACCTCCAGACTTCCCTCCTCCCTGTCCTTCAGCCATTTGAGGATTTCCTAATGTTCTGGCCCTTCGAATGTCCATCACAATTGCAAAGGTAAAATGAATGGTAATAAGAAATTGATTTAAGGTCTGCCCTAGGGTAAAATAATGATTCATTGACGTTTGCAGCATTTTATTGTAAGTGTGGTGGAAATGATTATTATCTTTAATGGTTAACTGAGTAATTGATTATTGATAAATGAGTACTCTATTCAAGCCAGGATCCATCTTACATCACCTGGAAAAGGATGATGTTCCTACTCTTTTAATGACCATTAAGTGGTAAATAAGGAAGTGGAAATGTTTCATAACTTACATATTAAGTATCTTTGGTCATTTAACCACCTCTACAATGAGAGCAATAAGGGAGCTGGGGGTAGGTAACCGACATAAGGAAAGATCAATGACTGTTTTTCAGA
The DNA here is from genome assembly GCF_000001405.40 of Homo sapiens. Lineage (NCBI taxonomy): Eukaryota > Metazoa > Chordata > Mammalia > Primates > Hominidae > Homo > Homo sapiens. Next base: position 84,267,963 of record NC_000004.12, read on the forward strand.
GTTTTATTGAAAGTGCATTATGGATTGTCTTGCTTTTAACATTATTACTTCATTGAATAACGATATATGAGTAGACTAAGGGGAAAAATTAGAATCTAGCTATGCAAGGCTATCTGTGTGATAGGATGGGAATTACATAGTAAAATGGCCTCCAGAGAAAACTTCAATCTCACCCATTCCCTCTACACAGTGCAAATAGATTGGAAGTTGGGAAAACAAAATGAATGAAGTTTGTCTTTGTGCCCCACTTATCTCCTTTTTGTTGCACCCCTGTCTACCTTCTGATGTCCCTTCATAGTTACCCACTGGACCCCTGTGCTGCTGTCCTGCTACCCAAAGTCCACTCCCACTCACAACTGCTGCATGTCACTGAGATGCATAATTCACATAAATTTTCCCAAGTGCCATAAAGATCTCTCCTGCAATCACAATCCCCTTTCACACATCCCATTTCTTCAGTATTTTGATCTCAGTCAAGCCTTAGAAAGAAAGCAACCTAATTTAACCAATTTATACTATGTCCCATTAACCTGCTTTGAGGTGAATTCATTTTAGTAAAGAATGCCAATTATATATTTAATACATTTCTAATGAGGGGACTTTCAAGAGGCTTAACAAAGTGACATGCAGTTTTATGGAACTCTGTGTTGAGGCGGGTGACACCTTTGCCAAGGATGGCTGTCAGAGGCAGGGTAAATTGTTAGGAAGAGCACAGACTCTACAACAGAATTGAGTTCAAATCCTGGCTTTCCTCCTATTAGCTGGGGTACCCTCTGAGACTCAAATTCATCTGTAAAGTGAATGCTACTGTCTCATGAGATTAGAGTAAGGATTAGATAAAAATAATATATGCCTGGTGCCTAGCACAGCAGCTGGCACATAGTAAAAACAATCCAATTGTCATTATTATATTTATAGGGGCAAGTGAGTGGTTAAGGCATTCTAACCAAGGACCAATGGGAACCACTGATAATCATCTGTTTTGTTTTGTTTTTTTTCAAGGAAGAAATGAGTGAGCTGATCAAGACCTTAGGAAGAAAGGAAAGAGGTGGGCATCTGAGCATCATGGTCCACAGAATAATGATCCCTGACTCCAAGTTTAATTTGAAACTTATTTTGAGAACCATAAACTTCTAAAAGGCACTCTGCTTGCTTTGGCCTTAGCTTCAAAAGCAAAGCTTTAATACTAGCCTATTAACATCTTCAATATAATTTGAGAGGTCATTCATGTCTTCTCATGGATATTTATGTCTACCATAGAATGATTTTAGGTGAAGTAGCATAGTTTCACTTCTCATAGGTCATGATGATTACAATCACCAAGACAGCAGTTTCTTTTAAATATTTTCTCTTACAGTCGTATTCTGTATATTTCTGCCTATCACTGTCTTCTAATACTTTTAAAGATTGACAATATTTCCTAACCATGTACCTAGGCCCTGGAAAGTTAAAAATTTTACCTCCTTCTGTCGTTTCTTTCCCCGGATCCAAAACAGAGTACCAGTGGTTGTAGCTTTGGTCTATTCTTCACCCTAAGTCCTCCCTTCAATCACTCCTGAGGCCATGGCAAATATATAAAAATAGTTTGATTGGGTTTGGAAAATATCAATCTAGTGTATCTTCTCTTAAATCATTTCTGGAAGAAAATTATTTATAACTTAATGTTTCAAATATACCATCTCTTTTTAAAGTGAGAGGAGGCAGAATCTAGCCATAAATTCATTACTTGTAACCCTTGACCCCAGAGCTTCAAGCCAGCCATATATCATACAGCAGAGAGTCAAAGTTCAGAGTCCCTGTAAATCATACAAAGCAGTTACTCCTCTAATAGTCTATTGAAAAGAGCCACCAATCTACTTTAAATGAAAAAGAAAGAAGTCCTTACTTACCACAGCCCCCTGGCCATGCAGACTACTGCACTGAAGACATAGGGAGAGGCAGTGGGAGAAATATGGAGTTAGTGAGAATGTTGTCAGTTGCAGGGAGAATGGATAAGGGCATTGCATTAAGGTAATTGTATAATATTGCATTTCCTCCATAGTATTTACTCAAGGCAGTGGTATTCCAATTATGTCCCATCTAGCCTAAGGATTCTGTAGAGTGCCTAGCACAAGGTCCAGGAAAAGGCTAAGCAGGTGTAGTGAGGGATATCCTACAACCAGGACAGTTCTACATATATCACTGGGCATCCATCTATATATGTATATATATGAACATACTGGAAAAAATAATAAGAGTTCTAGTTCTAAAAAATTTTTGAAACTCATTGACACAAGGTTCTGGAGGATTATTTATATGCCTCAGTAGCCAAAAGATAAAGAGAGAGAAAATACATAATGGTCTTTGAGGCATCTTTAAAAATTACTGTTCTTTGGCCCCTGTCAAACTGGAAATGATAAACATCATGTAAGAATAGCTGACATGTATCAAGTGCATATCATGATCCCTGTACTTCGTTAAGGGTTTTGCATTGATACATCTCATCATATCACAAAGAGACAGGTTACATGACAAACCCCATTTTCAAGTAGGAAAACAGAGGCTCAGGTGACTAAAATGTATCCAAAGTTGCACAGCTAGAATAAGACAGAAGTTTGTCTTATTCACATATCAATTCAATGAAGGTGTTTGGTAAATGGTCTGCCACTAGTTAATTCATGAACACAGGTTTTTTTTTAATCCTGCAGCTCTTTTCCCAGAGCTTCAGAGGCCTTGACTGTATTTCTCCATCTGATAATAAGGTTCTGGACAGCAGAAAGATAGGAGATAGTAGAGGATTGCATAGGAGGTTTTTAAGTGCTAGACCTGGAGTGGGATGCATCATTGCTGTCCACGTTTCATTGGCCAGAACTCAGTCATGTGGATGTGTCCAACTCTAAAAATATTTGGGAAATGTATTCTAGCTATGTGCCCAGGAGGAAAGGGAAAATAGTTACTTGCCAATCTCTACTGCAATAGAGGATTCAAACTCAAGGAACTTTAAATCCTCCAGAGGCCACCACACTACAGAATTAGCTTGTCTTCAGAAATAAAAGAATCATTAAGAACTGTCATCTCTAGGGGTCACCATTGCAAATTCTGAAGAATCCCTAAGAACATGGCAGATGTAGATTCATTCATTTATTCATGCAACATTTACTGAACATCTACTATAAGCCAGGCAGTTATTCATTCATTCATTTATTCAACATTTATTAAGCTCTCACTGTGTGCCAGGCCTATAATGGGGGCTGCAGCAATAAACAAGACAGAAACAGTCCCTGCCAACATGGAACTCACATCTCACAAACTGGAATTGTATTTCTCACATAAGACATTTTACTACTGTCTACAAAGTCATGTACCACTTTGTGTTTTATGCTCTTTCAGCTTCTGTTGTTTAGCTTGAATATATATATGGAAATGTAGGAAAACACACATTTTCTATACTGAGTTCCTTTCAAAAGGAAAAGCTCTTACAGTGTTTGTCTTTGTGTCTTCAGTACCTAACATAGTATATGGCATATGCACAAATTCTCATGTCATGGAAAAAGTACTAGACTAGGAATCACACAGTTTTTATTTTGTTCTTATTATGCCATTCAGTTCTTATACAATTTAAGCATGTTTCCTCGCTGCAAACTAAAACATTCAGAATAAAACAATTTTGCAGATATTTCCATCTTTAAAACATAAACTTAACATTTTGAATGCGATTAGTCTAGTAGAAACAACATTGAATCAGGGGTCAGCAGATGTGGACCATAGCCTTAGTTCTCCAGTTTCTTGAGGAAATCAACAAAAATCTTTATTTTTTAAAAAATTTTTTTCACCCCAAAATCTTTAATCCTCAGTCTATTCACTGGCAAACAAAAAAAAAAATGAGAATTAAAAGTATCCCTTCAATATCTAATATTCTATTAGTATTTATGATACTAATATTGGGTACCAAAAGATCAGATGCCTGCCATAGAGTTTAATTTCCTACAGCCAAATCCTAAACAAGGACCCCTGAAGATCTGAGAGAGGCAGAACACCTTCTGTGTGTAACAGGAGTAATTTTCTCTTTCTACCTGGTCATTTTTAATATTTTTTATTTTCTCCAAAATTCAAAGCCGTTTTTGCTTTAACTAGGTGGGTTGGTATTGAATAACTTTGTATTTCAACACAGTTTACTCTGCTAATTCACTACTTACTAGTGTATTAAACACTGGGGTCTACTTGAGGACAGAGGGTGGGAAAAGGGAGAGGATCAGAAAGCATAACTATTGTGTACTAGGCTTAGTACCTGGGTGATGAAATAATCTGTACAACAAACCCCCATGACATGAGTTTACCTATGTAACAATCCTGCACATGTAACCCTGAGCCTATAATAAAAGTTTTTAAAAAAAAGTTGTATTACTCTGGATTCTCGTCTTTCCTTCCCCCAAATTAGAAACTGTGTCAGAGCAAGGTGACTCATAACAGCCTAAACAATGGGGCTGTCTCTCCCTGTCTTTAAAAATATATATATATTGACAGCAGTTTATAAACTGCATACTCTCACAATGCAGGGAGAAGGGAGACTGTTTCTCAAAATATTTCCATTCATCATTATATTTATTTAAGATCTTAATCAAAATGATAAGAAATATGGTCTTCATCACAAGGGAAAAAATTTACTATCTCTGGAAGTCAAGAGGTTATGAGCTATTAAGATTCATAAAATGTTTAGTTCTGTACTGAAAATTAACAAAAACAGTTGTTAGTGAGACTAGTTCTATTTGTAATGTTGTTTAATGAAATAATATTTGTAGTGCATATGAGGGCCTTGAAAGAAATGTTTTAGTTGACATAAGATATGACTGTGGTTAGTATACCAATACAGAGGAGATGTAAACATTTGTCTGAAAATGTCCACAATTAGGACAACAAAAATAATAAAACTAGGGTTCAGTGTTTCTAATCCTGTGTAGAGAGGATTCCTTTTTAAAATACAATTAAGCCTAAGTCAGAGTTAGACTGCTTGCAAATTCTATCCATTGGCATCGCTAGAACATGGATTTTGATTTGGGTTGGGGAAGGGGGCTAGAAACATTCTTCAGTAAAGAATGAAGAATTAAAAGTCTCAGAGTCAAAGGTTTGTGATACCTTCATTCATTAGTTAAAAACAAATTTCTTGGAAATGAGAGACTGCAATTCAAGCATTATTTGTTCCCATCCTAATATTCTCCAGGTCCACTTTGCTGGCTGCCTGGGAGCCTGAATGATGCTAATATTCTGTGTCCAGCAATGGCTGCATTGGCCCCGAGGTCCTGAGAGAAATGGGTAAGTCAATAGTAGTATGCACACTCCACATGTGTAGTTTTTTCTGTAAGTACATAAATCCTGCAGAAACCAGTACCTGCTCTTGTGCCTTCAAAACCACACTGAACAGAGCCTTATTCTATAAAACCTGATAGGAAGACTTGGATAATTCATTTCTAAATCAGTGGTTTCCAAAGTATGAGAATACGAAATGATCAACTAGGCTATAGAAGGAAGATGCTTAAGTGGGAGCTAAATATTGAGTTCACATGGACACAAAGAAGGGAACAACAGAAACTGGGGCTTGCTTGAGGGTGGCAGGCGGGATGAGGGAAAGAATCAAAAAACTCTCTGTCAGGTACAATGTTTATTATCTGGGTGATGAAATTATCTGCACACCAAATCTCCATGACATGCAATTTACCTATATAATAAACCTGCATGTGTACCTGTGAACCCAAAATATATTTTAAAAAAGGACGAAAATAAACTTCATCCCCTCCAAAAACTAAGAAAAATTGAGTTTTACTAGTATCTCACATGTGGATGGCAACTAGAACATATATATATATGTGTGTGTATATATATATGTATATATATACACACATATGTATATATCTAATATAATGATATAGATATAACTATATCTATAGCATTAAAAATTATGCATGTATTGGAGGGATATCAGTCAGGTTGTCAGCAACAAAAAGAAGGTATCCTCAGATTGAATAAACCAAGGCAAGTTTCATATAGGAACAATTGACAAAAGTTTGGAGCACCGAAATATAGTAAAAGCAACAAGAGACAGGGCATACAGGACAAGTAATGGCAGGGAGGGGCATAAGGAGGGAGTGGACACCCAAACCAAAGACAGAGTTACAGAGAGGGCCATCTAACAGGACTTGTGGCCTTTGGTAAGGGACCCAGATAAGCCAGGGAAAAAAGTACCCTGGCCTCACTCTCTCCTATCCTCCAGGTTTCCTGCCAAACCCAATTGGAATTCAGAGGACATAAGAGCCCACTGATGCAGTCCATATGGGTCAGCCTCCACATGTAGCATACAGTGGTACACAGAGCTATCCATCAAAGATGTGCCCCCCCCTCCAGTTATTTTTCCTAATAGAGTTACTCCTTATTATAATTTTACAATGTTAAGATACCACTGTTCTAAATAACTTCACAAGATATTATGACTGTACTAGCAAAAAGCTAAGTTCAGAAGGCTTAGACTGCCTAGATGTAGACTCAGTGGCCTAATCCAATTAGACCTTTGCTAATGGGAAAAGTCTGTTCTCCATACAAAAAGGGAGAGTGTACCACTTGGGTCATACGTTTGCTGTTTCTGCTTTGAATTATCAGGCTAATGTTCACTCATTGGATTTTATTTATTCATTCACTCATTCATTTTTTTATTCATTATGTCAGGCTATGTATAAGTGCTGAGAATAAAAAGATAAATTATATATAATCTCTGGCCTCAAGATTCAATAATTTGTGAAAGGAGACAGATATATAATCAATATGTACAGTTGTATTGTAATTATGCTGAGAGATTAGAGCTGGCTACAACGGGTTTACAAAGAAAAAATGGTCAGTTGTACTGGAGATTGAGAGATGGTCAAGAATCATTTTATGTAAACAAAATAAATAAGTTCTAGAGATCTGCTATACAACATTGTACCTATAGTCAACAATACTGTATTGTACATTTAGAATTTTAAGATAATATATCTCATGCTATAGTCTTACCACAATAAAACAAAATTAATAATAATAAAAAGAATTGTTTCATATAGGCATTGGTTTGGGAACACTGAAGGAGAAGACAGACAAAATATTCTAGGCAAAAAGAATGTATATAGCAAAATGACTTGATAAATTTGGGGAACTAGAAATATTTTGGCACAGTAAAAATGGGGGAAAGAACATAATCAAATTGAAAAGTCAACCAGGCCAAGATTGTAGAAAAGCCTTATTAACTAACCTAAAAGTAGAACCTTTTATCTATACTTCTGTATTGGATCCTTAGTTTGGGTAACTCTAACTCATTTTACTTGAATCAGGTACTTCAGCTGGAAAATAAGAACTACTAATCATATGCCATCACATAGAATCAATGGAAAAACTCATTCTGAACCACAGTATTAACAGCTATCCCTATTTTAAGGTGAAGGAACCAACATTAAACCGCAATTTTTCCTAAGGTCAGTTTTGGATGCTGTGGAATGGCATGTTTTTTCAAGGATTTCTAGGCTATTTCAGGTAACCATGTGGCTAAAATAATCTGGTTTTATCATTAGAATTAAAATTAATATATCGACTAGCCATGCCACAGATTATCAAATAGAGCCTAATTATGACATGGCATCAAAGATCTCTTTCCTTCTTATATGTTTCCTAGTTACTGAAATGCACTCCTACCAAAAAGCTCTCAGTCCCACCACAAAAAGAGCAGAGCCTGAACATTTTCATGGACATCCGTTATTTTCATAGTAGTATAGTCCTGATGATTCAACAATTCCCCAGTTAGTTGACCTATACAGGTATGGGAACACTGGCTTTAGCAAGTTCTATTTCTGAAAACACCATAGGCTAATTAATTTGCCTTATATGTACTAACCCTGATTTTCATCCTGCCCCAATCAAAAAAATATCTATTAATTGCATAGAGCAGTTTAGAGAGTGCACTGGCTATTTGACAACTCAAATGCATAAAGAAATTCAATAAGGATGGTTTGCAAGGAACAATGGAGTGAAGAATAAATTCTGAGAGCACTGCAAGTCAAAGTTGACCTCTTAAAGGAGTACATCAAATGAATGAACAATAAATTTTCCATAAGGCAAACCAAAGCATATTTTATAAAGCAAGAATTGTCTCTGCTGAATACTCAACAAGGCCCCTAATGGGCCCAATTCTTCACCAATATAACTCTCACAGACGGGATTTGCTCTTTCTGCAACACATTCACTGGCACTAATATTTCATTAGGCTATTCCCGATCAATATTCCTGCCATGACTGTCTAAAGGCACCACTGAGAAGGAAGTATCTGGAAGACTTTTCAGCAGTTGGATCCTTCTAAGGACAAAGTGAGGTGTTATATTGCCACTTAAGAATTCAAAGGTAAATAAAGGAAGATACCTTTCTACTTCTAGTTACTCTCTTTGAGACAAACCAGAGGAGCTTGTCATTATAGACAAAATTCTTACCCACAAATCTCTGAGGGGTTTTCATAATGTTATATTCTAACCCTTTCAAGCTAGAGTTGCTTCTAAAGGTCAGAATAATTACATCCAGTCCCCAGCCCAAGTATCAGTGGTTATAGTTGCTAGACCACCCTGAGCCAACAGGAATACAGTGGGAGGCATGGCAAATAGGTAAGGAACAGCTTCCGTCAGTGAAATCAAATCTGTCTTCTCAAGAAACAAGGAAGAGCCAGGAAGAGCTGGTGTCATACTAGGCCTCCTAAAATTGTTACTGCCTTCTCTCAACCTCATCCAGGCTCCATCACAAAGAGAGTTGCATGTAAGATTAGACGCTCAGAGTCTCTCCATTGCCTTTTGATTCTTCATTCTCAGCTTATTTTTGGTTGTAATCTATGAAATCAGTGAAACTGAAGAAGTTGCAGATGAATTGCTTGTGAACTGATTTATGATCTTTATTGCACCAGAGAAGTAATTGTATGCATACAACTTCCTTTTACAATTACCTCCACATGATTTCAAAGCAATTCACTGCCTATGGGAGGAGGCCATCAATAAGTGACACTTGCATATTCATTCATTTCAATATGAGAGTTTTTAAAGGCTCAGGGGAATAGTTCAGTGCTATTGAAAATTACTTTTCTTCCATCAGGATTTTTCTAATTGTTTTTGTTTTTGTTTTTTAGAGAGAAAAAAACATGATGCTATCAAAATCTGGTTTTATTTAACTTTATTTTTACTCTTATTTTATTTTTAAATAGATTATATTTAAGAGGGTTGAAATGAGAGGCTGCATTTATGAAATGCCAACTATAAGCCAAAAACTGTGCTAACCTGTGTATCTATGTTAATTCTTGTATTCCTGCCAATGCCATAATTACTTTGCCTTTATTTATTTATTTATTTCAATAGGTTTTTGGGGAACAAGTAGTGTTTGGTTACATGAATAAGTTCTTTTGTGGTGATTTCTGAGATTTAGGTTCAGCCATCACCCGAGCAGTGTACACTGTACCGAATGTGTAGTCTTTTATCCCTCACTCCCCTCCCACCCTTTCCCCTGAATCCTCAAAGTTCATTATATCATTCTTATGCCTTTGTGTCCTCATAGCTTAGCTTCCACTTATGAGTGAGAACATATGATGTTTGGTTTTCCATTCCTGAGTTACTTCACTTAGAATAATGGTCTTCAATTCCATTCAGGTTGCTGAAAACATTTAACTAGTGAAGAAACTCAAAGAAGCATAAGTATTTGCCCAAGGTCAAGCAGCAAATAAATGACAGACAGGGCAGACAGGGTAGTGTCTGAACTCACATCTAACTACAAAATCCATCCTCTTTCCATGACTTCACCCTGCACTCAGCTTTTTGGGATACAATTCCATCTGTTTTATATTTCTCAGATTGTGGAAAGGTTTTTCAACTTTGTTGAAATTACCTGAGACTGTTTACTATACCCCAAAAGTCTTGTGTAGCATATATTCTCTAAGCTATCTTTTTTTTTTCTTGTTATTTTTTTAAACATGACTTATATGGGGAAGCCCTAGTGCCCATCAGAATCTGTAAACCATGTATTCATGATCTTGCTTGACCCTAACAATTCTCCCAAGTCAGTTCTACTTCAGGGAAGGGGCAAAAATATCAGTAAACTTCATCGCAAGATATTGTGTTGACCAGTTTTTTTTCAAACTTCAGTGATTGCGTAACATCTACATCATTTTTGCTATATCTGAATGGTACTATACTATTTTTTATTTAATATGTTCCAATCAATTTTAACCTGACTCCATTTTTCACTTAGCATTGTTCTAAACAATAAAACATGAGTTTAGTGTATTTATCAATATTTTTCTTATGCATGTTAAAATATATGAATAACTAATAAAATAAAAAATGTTTGTCCATGCACCTTCCAAAGTCACACTTTGGGAAGCACTAATGTCAAATAATTGGCTGTGCTTTTCCACTTGTATCCATTTGTGTATGTGTCATTTGTTCATGGTCTCAGTTCACATATTCATTCATTCATTCATTCAAAAAACATTTATAGAGTACCAACTCTTGTGTTAGACACTGTTCCGGACACCAACAGCATGCAGAGAATGGTTTGGGCCAGGGAGAGAAGAAAAACATGGAGCCCAGGCAAGGGCTGCTGGATTATTAAAGTAATACAGGAAGAGAGGAAAGGGACTGAATGCACTCAGTAATAATAAGAAAGGGATTCATTTAAGAGACATTTCAGAAGTAGAATCAATAGAACTCCATGTTAACTTCAATTCACAATGTGGGTTAGGAAAAAGGAGGTAGAAAAATGGCTGTAAGGCCATTCAAATATTTTAACTGCATTAAATTATAATACTTTCTGACATCTTTAACAATCCTGAACACAACTGTAAATGCATAAGTAATGGAGAAACATAAGGAGGTGAAATCTTACTTAAAGCCAGATATAGCATTTAATATATTTAGCAATCTAGGTGGTATTGGCCACAGAACAATTGAAACAGATACAAGAAGGTCCTGCCGGCCTCTGGCGGAGCTAGGAGCAGGGAAGGTTTGGGAAAGGGTTAAGGAGTAGGAGGCTCAGGGTCTAGCTATTTATCCAGCAGTATAGAAAGATTTCAATATTCTACCAATGGTTGCAAACCTCTGGATTATCATCCTTGCTTAAGCCCATTCATGGCCCTCATCTCTCTTAGAATGTGTTCCAAAACTTGTCCTTGTGCCCAAGGTCTAGACTGTGTACCACACCTGCCTCATCCCAGCTCCCAACCCTCATCTTATCCCTGCTTCCTCCCACCTAAAATTCCAAGCCCTTAAATATACCATGTCTTCCACTGCAAGGCCCTCACACAAGTGTGTCTGTCCTTCAGTCTGGCACACTTTCCTGCCCCTCCTTCTAGCACACTCCTAGTCATCCTTCTGGCCCCATCTTGGATGGTATCCTCATGGAGGTTTCTCCTGACCTTCAATATCGAGACAGGTTTCCTCTTTACATGTGGTCACAGTACCCTGTCATTACTTGTTTCATGTCGGTTTTCTATAATAGACTCACTAATCTCCATGAGGGCAGGAACTAGGCCAGCCTTGTTCACCATCCCTCCCCAAAGCTTCATCTACAGCTTGCCATATCAAAAGAACTGAAAAGTAGCTATCCAAAAAGTTTTTCCTCTGCAAGAAGAGAGAGAAAACAGTGCTTATTCATTTACTATTGTTGATTAGGGGGAGCTTGGGAACATTTAGATGGAAATAGAATACTATATGCCAGATACTGACCTCAGAACTTATTTTTATCTGATTTAAGCTTTACTATAACTCTGAAGAGTAGGCATTATTATTCCTAATGTTTTTAGATGAGGACGCTGAGGCTTGAAGAAGTAAAGAAACTGGCTCAGAGTGACTCAGCAACTAAGCAGCTCAGTGAGGATAAAAAATTCTGCCCCAGTACTGCTTCCCAAGCATGATTATTAAACTCTCCCTGGCACATGACAGCACCACAATTGCCAGCAGATCACAGATAACAAGAGAGCTGAGGAATTTTGCTAGATGCCCTTACAGTAAGAAGGGACAGCTGGTACCATGGCATGAGATGAGAATACCCAAATCAGCCAGTCAGGGACAGGGCTATTTCAGTAATAGATGCCCATCAAATAGTGATCCTGACCCAACAAAAAGATTCATTTATTTTTGAGAAACTCTGTTTGATAAGGAAGTATGTGTATAGTTTAGAAGATTTTCATTAAAATCAGCTAACTTTTTAACAGTGCTTTAGATATTTGGCCAATTTGTCTCCTCTGAGCACTTTCTTCTCTATCCAGATCAATAAAGCATTGCAGTGCTTCAGACTAGACCGCAGTTTGGCTAAAAATGTTTAGTCTCCTTCCAAAGCTAAAGGAGACAAAGATTCAGCAAGATAGAATCCATTGATAACCAATCTGATTAGGATGCTTTTTTTGTGAAACTGATGGGTATTGATTCATTTACAACCAATTAGAGGCCTTTTGCCTGGGAAAAATCACTCTTATTCTGGCAGAAATGAACCTCATAAAACAGGTGGAAACAAAAGTTGTAAATTGTGTGACTGGTCTCCACAATAATTAATAAAATGCCTCATGGTTCTAATTTCTGCCCTGGCATTTCTTGTTTTGTGCAGCTATAATTTCAGTCACTTAGTAGTAGTTTTTCCTAAGCCTCATATTTCTGGTGAGCATCTTTTCTCACAAACAAAAAATGTTGCTTTTACAATACAGCTATATCATAAACTTCAAACAATCCTCATTGTCTTCTAATTGTCTGTGAGAATACAACATTAAGAAAAGTTTTATGGCCAAGTGTGGTGGCTCACACCTGAAAGCCTGGCACTTTGGGAGGTCGAGGTGGGTGGATCACCTGAGGTCAGGAGTTCAAGACCAGCCTGGCCAACATGGTGGAACCCTGTCTCTACTAAAAATACAAAAATTAGCTGGGTGTGGTAGTGCATGCCTGTAATCCCAGCTACTCGGGAGGCTGAGACACGAGTATTGCTTGAACCTGGGAGGCGGAGGTTGCAATGAGCTGAGATTGCACCACTGCACTCTAGCCTGGGCAACAGAGCAAGACTGTCTCAAAAAAAGAAAAAGAAAAGAAAAAAAAAAGTTGTATGATGTATTATTAAAATGTCTGCTATTACAATAAGGTGAATGTGTCCAGTGACCAATAGTTCTAAGGTCAGGATTTACACAGAATATAAAAATGATTTATCTATTATCACCCATCCCATGCTCTCATCTGCAGATACAGCCTGGGGAATGTGTGCCCTCTCAAAGCTTCATATATGTTCTTCTCAAAAAAGGGGAAGAATCACCTTATTTAAGAATCTCTTTAGAGTATCTCAGAAGGAATTATTTCAATAACTTTTTTTGAAGAACTGATTATTTTTATAAAGAAATTGCTTTACCTCATATCTACTTTAATCAATGCTAGTTCATAGAGGATATCTAACTGAATTAATAAGAAACTTTTTTAAAAAAATTAAAAATTGTAGCACAGTTTGTCACTGTTCTTGGGGGATGACCTCCCAAATGCAAGTGTTGGATCTTGCTGCAAATAAGCCTTTTTAAGAACTGCTAAACACACACACACACAAACACACACACATGCACACACACACGCGCACAGTAAATTACTTCCTTGCATGCAGAGATCATGTTTATGAAACTGTGGCTTAGTACAGAATTTCCAGGGGGAGCATATAATATACATGCACTTCAAAAAGTACGTAAATCAAACAATTTAGATGAGAGAAAAAATTACATGCTCTGGCAAACTGTGATAACAACTATTAAAGTGGCTCTGATGATGGCAAAGACACCAATGGCAAATATGTTTCTAAAGAGCATGACCAATATTGCTTTATGAAATGTGAGAGTGAATAAAATATTATTTCCACATTAGCATTATTTATATGATGGACTGCAAATGTTATCATAAATGCATAAATACCATGAATAGACAACTGGCTTTCTTCTCTATTAGCCCAAAAGTTTATATATACATTCAATTTACTCCCCAGATTGGTATCTTTTCATTGGAAAAATGAATGATCATCTTTTTTTTTTGAGAGCAGGGTATTTATCACTTTTCTTTAACTGTTATATTTCCACTGTGTAATGGACTGCCTGAAAGATAATAATTGCTTCAAAAATATTTAATTAATATACAAAATAATTAGACACCATTAGTATATAAAAAAGCAGGGGTACTAGACATATCCCCAAATCCACAAACATCTTAAGTTAAAACATCCTTGTTAACAAATCCACTTTGAGATTCCTGAAACTAATAAAATACACAGACTATTTTGAACCAATATTAGAGGTCATCTAATCCAATCTCTATTTTTCAGATGAGGAAATCACAGTTAGAACAATTAAATGCCCTTCTGCAAGACAGCTGGGATTAGAACCTTGAGCTTTCCATTAGATAGTATTATTGAGTTGCTTTCTTTGTATGGTTCATCGCAGCCTCTGATTTACACTTCATGTTGAAAGCAAGCAGTGTCTCTTGCCTGAGAACAGTTTCTGTTAAGCAAGGTAAACACACATTAATTGACCCTGAATAGCTGATGGACTGAGAGAGAAATGTAGAGTTTGTGATACAAAATCCAAGCAGATGCCCTTTCTGAGTTTTCATTATTTGCTAAAGAAGTTGGCCACCTAATCCCATAGAAATGTATGTAACGTTTTGGTTTTGATAAGCTCTCAATCATTATGGGTCTTGGTTCAGCTGACAGCCCTAGTTACTGTGAGGCAGAAAAACACTCCAGAGGTGCAGCAACACTGTTTAGACATTCACACAGCAAACCATGCATTTGTACCCAAGAAAAAATCAGTATAAGGGTCTCTCTTTCCTTGCATAATGTATTCTTTTATTAAAATAATCACTGTGTATCTCTAATAGAGATTTATGAACAGAAATCTTTATGTCACACTAACAATCCAAGAAGAAAAAGCCTAATTGTTGAGTTTTTTTTAAAAAATCCATTTGAATGCTGCTAACTTATTATTAAAATACACAAAATTTTTCCCCATTCTTCCTTCTTTTCCTCACTCATACTAAAATCCTCAGTGTATCTTAAACCCTCCTCGATTAATTAACTCTGTTAAATTTGCAAACAGTCCTCAGGGTAGACGATGTATAAGTACCTAGGCTACCATACACATGAAGCACACACATACCTTTACAATCCTTTAAGGAAGGATGCCATGATTTCTAATACACTACTAATAACTTATATGCTTCACTTACTAAGTACTGGACATTCTTCCAAACACTTATATCAACTTATATAATCTTCCTAACAACCTGGTACTATTATCATTTCCTTTGTACAGATAAGGAAATTGGAGCTCAGAGACATTAACTTACTAAGAGTCAAATGCAAGAAGTAAGTGGTGGAGCTGAGATTTAAACACAGGTACTCTGACTCCAGAGTTTGTGCTGTTAAATACGTTGCTATCGTTCTACAGTTTGATTTTAAATTGCTATTTTTACTCATACTGTGGACTGCTCATCCTTTGCTCTTTTTTTCTTTAACAAAGAATTTTCTCAGTATTCTAATCTTGTACTTAAGGTAATTGTTTATATTATGTAAGTTATTTCTATTATTAAGTAAAATAATCTGTGTGCTATAGAAAACACCAAGATTCAGGTTGAATTTCCATCCAAGGGGCTCATGATATAGATAAATGAGGAATTTCTCTAGATCCCCATGGAGTTGGTGGCATGGTGAGTTTGTGGAGTGTTTGAACATCAAAGTCTTTTTTTTTCCAAGTATCGAGGATGAATTAAATAATAAAACATGACCTGGCATGAATTACAGTATCTGAATTCATTTCTCTAACTAGTGTGTTTGTGGGCCCGAGGTTGAAAGCAATTAGGTGTGAATTATTACACCATCTTCCATGCCCTGGACGGTTTTATGATGATTATAAAATTTTATTATTAATGGTTCACTGTTTTTGGAGGAGTTGTTAATTTAAAAGTATATATTTATATTGTTAATTAATGAATAGGACAAAAATAGTTGGGTAAAAATCTTTCCGAAGAGCAGAATCTATCTAAGAGTGGAGAAGACCTCACTGACAGCAGGGGCTATGGCTGAATCCTGACCCCAGAGAGAGGCAGCATGCTGCAGTTCCACCAGGGATACCCAGGCTATTAGAGTGGTATGATGCCTTACAGACTACCTTGTTCAATTTCTTTGTTTTAAATATCAGGAAAAATAAGTGACTTGCCTGCGATCACACCATAAGTTAATAGCAGAGCTGAGTTGGCTCAGTCAAAGACACTTGGATCCTGACTCTCAGTGTGCAATGCTTCTCATTTTAAACAATTTAGAAAGATGTCACTGAATACCTAGAAAGGAATAAATAAAATTATTAGAAACTGGAAGACAAAAATCATAAAAAAGAAAACAATAGTTACTGTTTAATTGGGCTACTCTAAATGTCAAAATATGATTTGATTGTGAAATACTTTCCTAAGAATGCATTTTCTAGTGCATTCTTGTGTTGGAACCACAACTAGACAGGCCAGCTGATCCCAGAAGCCATGTATGTAATGACTAGCAGGAGCTCAGGTAATAGTCGCACATAATTTCCACCTGTGGGCCTCTTCTTGCCATGATTTTCAACTCCTCTCCATCCCTCATCCCCAAATTCTCTCTTCCTCCTGCTCACTGAAGGGTAAAGATATTTTCTTGGACAAATTCAGTCAAAAAGGAGTAATTGAAAACCAATTGAATTTTTCCCTGGGTTAGGCAAGAGAGAGGAAGTGTAGTGCTTGGTAACTAAGTTTGTTATCAAATAAATTGGTGCTGGAAGCAACCATGTAGAACTGCTGGAACATTGAGCAGAAGTCTATCTTTCTAACTAGTAAAGCTGAGTCTCATCTCTGTTGGGATTCTCCAGGGGGTCTTAGGCAAGTAGCCAAAATGAATTTTACTTTGAGAACATAGGTGTATGAGTGTCTATTTTTTCCTTCTCTTAGTACTCTAAATGTTTGCCAGGTGAAGCCATGCCAACAGTCATGATCAGTTTGACCTAACTGAGCAGTGATTGACAGTACCCTCCAATTCAGCTCTTACCTGTTTCTGATTGAGTTATTGCCTGAGCTCCTGGGAGTCTGACCTGAGTCTTCTCAGCTTACTATAACAGTCTCTTAATCAGAGACAGAAACAGCTCATAAGAGAATAAACACATTTTCTAGAAATAAACATGCTTTACTTCAAGTTCTGTATTGTACTCTGTTGCTATTGGAAATAAATTCACTCACTTGGACAATGGCATCATCCAAATCACTTTGAGCTCTCTCTAGTCCATCTAAGTCCAGTGTAATATTACTTCTGTAACATTAGATTGCTTTATGTGAGTTCTATAAATACCATGGATAATTACAAAACTGAGCAAATCGCTCTATTAGGCAATGCCCTCCCTCAAATAATTCTATAAAAGAAGCAATGTTTTGTGATGTCTCTCTTTCTTCTCTCTAGGCACCCATTCCTATGCTGAGTTGGGGGAATGACTATGTACTGAATTACAATTGAGTTTCAAAACCTGAAACTCTTGTATCATGTCAAATACTCCAAAGATGTCTCTACTCACACTCCATCAAATAAAACTCCAACACTTCATATTCCCAATACACAAAATTGCCAATAATCAGTGGCTGGCCAGATGGCCATATAGGAACAGCTATGGTCTGCAGCTCCCAGCAAGATCAATGCAGAGGGCAGGTGATTTCTGCATTTCCAACTGAGGTACCTGGCTCATCTCATTGGGACTGGTTAGACAGTGGGTACAGCCCATGGAGGCTGAGCCAAGGCAGGGTGGGGTGTTACTTCACCCAGGAAGGGCAAGGGGTCAGGGAATGCCCTCCCTGAGCCAAGGGAAGCCACAAGGGACTGTGCTGTAAGGAACGGTGCACTCCAGCCCAGACACTACACTTTTCCCATGGTCTTCACAACCTGTGGACCAAGAGATTACCTTGGGTGCCTATGCCACTAGGGCCCTGGGTTTCAAACACAAAACTGCATGGCCGTTTGGGCAGACACTGAGCTAGCTGCAAGAGTTTTTTTCATACCCCAGTGGCACCTGAACGCCAGCTAGACAGAACTGTTCATTCCCCTGGAAACGTTGCTGAAGCCAGGGAGCCAACTGGTCTAGCTCAGCGGATCCCACCCCCATGCAGCCCAGCAGGCTAAGATCCACTGGCTTGAAATTCTCACTGCCAGCACAGCAGTCTGAAGTTGACCTGGAATGCTGGATCTTGGTGGGGGAAGGGGCGTCTGCCATTATTGAGGCCTGAGTATGTGGGTTTCCCCTAAAAGTGTAAACAAAGCCGCCAGGAAGTTCAAATGGGTGGAACCAATGGCAGCTGGGCAAAGACACTGTAGACAGACTGCCTCTCTAGATTCCTCCTCTCTGGGCAGGGCATCTCTGAAAGAAAATCAGCAGCTCCAGTCAGGGAGTTATAGATTAAACTCCCATCTCCCTGAGACAGAGCACCTGGGGGAAGGGGCAGCTGTGGGCACAGCTTCAGCAGACTTAAACATTCCTGTCTTCCAGCTCTGAAGACAGCAGCGGACCTCCTAGCACAGTGCTCGAGCTCTGCTAAGGGACAGACTGCCTCCTCAAGTGGATCCCTGACCCCTGTGCCTCCTGACTGGGAGACACCTCCTAGCAGCAGTTGACAGATACCTCATTTCGGGGAGCTCTGGCTGGCATCTGGCAGGTGACTCTCTAGGAAGAAGCTTCCAGAGGAAGGAATAGGCAGCAATCTTTGCTGTTCTGCAGCCTCCACTGGTGATACCCAGGCAAATAGGGTCTGGAGTGAACCTCCAGCAAACTCCAGCAGACCTGCAGCAGAGGGGCCTGAC
Organism: Homo sapiens; assembly: GCF_000001405.40. NCBI lineage: Eukaryota > Metazoa > Chordata > Mammalia > Primates > Hominidae > Homo > Homo sapiens. The sequence continues at coordinate 84,286,848 of NC_000004.12, forward strand.
TGTTAGAAGGAAAACTAACAAACAGAAAAGAATAGCATCAATATCAAGAAAAAGGACATCCACACAAAAACCCCATCTGAAGGTAACCAACATCAAAGATCAAAGGTAGATAAATCCATGAAGATGAGGAAAAGCCAGCACAAAAAGGCTGAAAATTCCAAAAACCAGAAAGCCTCCTCTCCTCCAAAAAATCACAACTACTCACCAGAAAGGAAACAAAACTAGATGGATAATGTGTCTCGTGAATTGACAGGCTTCAGAAGGTGGATAATAACGAACTCCTTTGAGCTAAAGGAGCATGTTCTAACCCAATGTAAGGAAGCTAAAAACCTGAAAAAAATGTTAGAAGAATTGCTAACTAGAATAACCAGTTTAGAGAAGAATATAAATGACCTGATGGAGCTGAAAAACACAGCACAAGAACTTCATAGAGCATACACAAGTATCAATAGCCAAATTAATCAAGCAGAAGAAAAGATGTCAGAGATTGAAGATCAACTTAATGAAATAAAGCATGAAGACAAGATTAGAGAAATAAGAATGAAAAGGAATGAACAAAGCCTCCAAGAAATATGGGACTATGTGAAAAGACCAAACCTACATTTGATTGGTGTACCTGAAAGTGACGGGGAGAATGGAACCAAGGTGAAAAACACTCTTCAGGATATTATCTGGGAGAACGTCCCCAACCTCGGTAGACAGACCAACATTCAAATTCAGGAAATACAGAGAACACCACAAAGATACTCCTCAAGAAGAGCAACCCAAAGACACATAATTGTCAGATTCACCAAGGTTGAAATGAAGGAAAAAAATGTTAAGGGCAGCCAGAGAGAAAGGTCGGGTTACCCACAAAAGGAAGCCCATCAGACTAACAGTGGATCGCTCTGCAGAAACCCTACAAGACAGAAGAGAGTAGGAGCCAATATTCGACACTTAAAAAAAAAGAGTTTTCAACCCAGAATTTCATATCCAGCCCAACTAAGCTTCATAAGTGAAGGAGAAATAAAATCCTTTACAGACAAGCAAATGCTGAGAGATTATGTCATCACCAGGCCTGCCTTACAAGAGCTCCTAAAGGAAGCACTAAATATGGAAAGGGAAAACTGGTACCAGCCACTGAAACAAACATACCAAATTGTAAAGACCATCAATACTATGAAGAAACTGCATCAACTAACAGGCAAAATAACCAGCTAGCATTATAATGACAGGATCAAATTCATACATAATAATATTAATCTGAAATGTAAATGGGCTAAATACCCCAATTAAAAGACACACATTGGCAAATTGGATAAAGAGTCAAGACCCATCAGTGTGCTGTATTCAGGAGACCAATCTCACATGCAAAGACACACATAGGCTCAAAATAAAGGGTTGGAGGAATGTTCATCAAGCAAATGGAAAGCCAAGAAAAAAGCAAGGGTTGTAAACCTAGTCTCTGATAAAACAGATTTTAAACCAACAAAGATCAAAAAAGACAAAGAAGGGCATGACATAATGGTAAAGGGATCAATGCAACAAGAAGAGCTAACTATCCTAAATATATATGCACCCAATACAGGAGCACCCAGATTCATAAAGCAAGTTCTTAGAGAGCTACAAAGAGACTTAGACTCCCAAACAATAATAGTGGGAGACTTTAATGCCCCACTTTCAATATTAGACAGATCAATTGACAGAAAATTAACAAGGATATTCAGGACTTGAACTCAGCTCTGGACCAAGTGGACCTCATAAAACAGGTGGAAACAAAAGTTGTAAATTGTGTGACTGGTCTCCACGATAATTAATAAAATGCCTCATGGTTCTAATTTCTGTTCTGGCATTTCTTGTTTTGTCCAACTACAACTTCACTCACTTAGTAGTTTCTCCTAAACCCCAGATTTCTGGTGAACACCTTGTCTCATGAACAAAAAATGTTGCTTTTACAATACCGATATATTATAAACTTCAAACAATCATCATTGTCTTCTAGTTGTCTGTAAGAACACAACATTAAGAAAAGTTGCATGGCCAGGTGTGGTGGCTCATGTCTGTAATCTGGGCACTTTGGGAGGTCGAGGCAGGTGGATTGCCTGAGGTCAGGGGTTCAAGACCAGCCTGGCCAACATAGTGAAACCCTGTCTCTACTGAAAATACAAAAATTATCTGTGTGTGGTAGTGCACACCTGTAATTGGGAGGCTGAGACACGAGAATTGCTAATGGACATCTACAGAACTCTCCACCCCAAATCAACAGAATATACATTCTTTTCAGCAACACATCACACTTATTCTAAATTTGACCACATAATTGGAAGTAAAACACTGCTCAGCAAAAGCAAAATAATGGAAATCATAACAAACTGTCTCTCTGACCATAGTACAATCAAATTAGAACTCAGGATTAAGAAACTCACTCAAAACTGCACAACTACGTGGAAACTGAACAACCTGCTCCTGAATGACTGCTACTGGGTAAATAACAAAATAAAGACAGAAATAAATGAATTCTTTGAAAACAATGAGAACAAAGACACAACACACCAGAATCTCTGGGACACAGCTAAAGCAGTGTTTAGAGGGAAATTTATAGCACTAAATGCCCACAGGAGAAAGTGGGAAAGATCTAAAATCGACATCTTAACATCACAATTAAAAGAACTAGAGAAGCAAGAAGCAAGAGAAAACAAATTCAAAACCTAGCAAAAGACAAGAAATAACTAAGATCAGAGCAGAACTGAAGGAGAGAGAGACATGAAAACACCCTTCAAAAAATCAATGAATCCAGGAGCTGGTTTTTTGAAAAGATTAACAAACTAGATGGACTGCTAGCCAGACTAATAAAGAATAAAAGAGAGAAGAATCAAATAGACACAATAAAAAATGATAAAGGTGAGATCACCACTGATCCCACAGAAATACAAACTACCATCAGAGAATACTATAAACACCTCTACACAAATAAACTAGAAAATCTAGGAGAAATGGATAAATTCCTAGACACATAAACTCTCCCAAGACTAAACCAGGAAGAAGTCAAATCCCTGAATAGACCAATAACAAGTTCTGAAATTGAGGCAGTTATTAACAACCTACCAACAAAGAAAAGCCCAGGACCAGGCAGATTCACAGCCTAATTCTACCAGAGGTACAAAGAGGAGTTGGTACCTTTCCTTCTGAAACTATTCCAAACAATAGAAAAAGAGGGACTGCTCCCTAACTTATTTTATGAAGCCAGCATCATCCTGATACCAAAACCTGGCAGAGACACAATCAAAAAAGAAAATTTCAGGCCAATTTCCCTGACGAACATTGATGCAAAAATCCTCAATAAAATACTGGCTAACCAATTCCAGCAGTACATCAAAAAGTTTATCCACCACAACCAAGTTGGCTTCATCCCTGGGATGCAAGACTGGTTCAACATAGGCAAATCAATAAATGTAATCCATCACATAAACAGAACCAATGACAAAAACCACACGATTATCTCAATAGACGCAGAAAAGGCCTTTAATAAAATTCACCATCCATTCATGCTAAAAAAATCTCAATAAATTAGGTATTGATGGAACATATCTCAAAATAATAAGAGCTATTTATGACAAACCCACAGCCAATATAAAACTGAATGGGCAAAAGCTGGAAGCATTCCCTTTGAAAACTGGCACAAGTCAAGGATGCCCTCTCTCACCACTCCTATTCAACATAGTATTGGAAGTTCTGGTCAGGGCAATCAAGCAAGAGAAAGAAATAAAGCATATTCAAATAGGAAGAGAGGAAGTCAAATTGTCTCTGTTTACAGATGACATGATTGTAAATTTAGAAAACACCATAATCTCAGCCCAAAATCTCCTTAAGCTAATAAGCAACTTCAGCAAAGTCTCAGGATACAAAATCAATGTGTAAAAATCACAAGCATTCCTATACACCAATAATAGACAAATAGCCAAATCATGAGTGAACTTCCATTCACAATTGCTACGAAGAGAATAAAATTCCTAGGAGTGCAAGTTACAAGGGATGCAAAGGACCTCTTCAAGGAGAACTACAAACCAATGCTCAAGGAAATAAGAGAGGACACAAACAAATACGAAAGGGCTTCTGCACAGCAAAAGAAACTATCATCAGAGTGAACAGGCAACCTATGGAATGGGAGAAAATTTTTTCAATCTATCTATCTGACAAAGGGCTAGTATCCAAAATCTACAAAGAACTTAAACAAATTTACAAGAAAAAAACAAACAACTCCATCAAAAAGTGGGCAAAGGATATGAACAGACATTTCTCAAAAGAAGACATTTATGCGGCCAACAAACATGAACAAAAGCTCATAATCACTGGTCATTAGACAAATGCAAATCAAAACCACAATGAGATACCATCTCACGCCAGTTAGAATGGTGATCATTAAAAAGTCAGGAAATAACAAATGCTGGAGAGGATGTGGAGAAATAGGAATGCTTTTACACTGTTGGTGGGAGTGTAAATTAGTTCAACTATTGTAGAAGACAGTGTGGTGATTCCACAAGGATCTAGAACCAGAAATATCATTTGACCCAACAATCACATTACTGGGTATATACCCAAAAGAATATAAATCATTCTGTTATAAAGACACATGCATGTGTATGTTTATTGCAGCACTATTCACAATAGCAAAGACATGGAATCAACCCAAATGCCCATCAATGATAGACTGAATAAAGAAAATGTGGTTATGTATACACCATGGAATACTATGCAGCCATAAAAAATGAGATCTTGTCCTTTGCAGGGACATGGATAAATCTGGAAGTCATCATCCTCAGCAAACTAACACAGGAACAGAAAACCAAACACTACATGTTCTCATTCATAAGTGGGAGTTGAACAATGAGAACACATGGACACAGGGAGGGGAACATCATACACAGGCCCCTGACAGGGGCCTGTCAGGGAGTGGGCGGCTAGGTGAGGGATAGCATTAGGAGAAATACCTAATGTAGATGACAGGTTGATGGGTGCAGCAAACCACCATAGCACGTGTATACCTGTGTAACAAACCTGCACGTTCTGCACATGTATCCCATAACTTAAAGTATAATACAAAAAAAACAGTATAAAAGTTAAAACTGGAAAAAAAATTGCCAATAATCCAGTAATCTTTGTTTTCTGTGTTTTACGTTAGTGTTGTCTTTCATTTTTAATCAACAAGGGCTGAAACCATCTCCTAATGGAACAAAACTAGATTAATCATACTAAAGAAAGAAGTCTTTTTCTCTGAATTCTAATCACTGGAGCTTAATGCTGCTAGCACGTTTTCCATTTGTGCCTTGACCTAGAGTAACCTCTTTACCTCTGTCCTCAGTCTATTTGTTGAACTTAGATGTTATAAAAGCATACTTCAAATAAAAGATAAAATTTACTACAGGGTGAAATGTAAATACCATAGTTAGAAATGAATTATTCCATAAAGTGGAAAATACTACATGCATTGGAGAAATGTAATTGTATTATAGAGTTATGTATAAAATATGCTATATATTAGTACAAATCCTTGGGAAACAGGCACAGTCAGCACAACAGGGGAAGGCCTGCGAGCCTGTGTTAACTTCCGCCACCTCAAAATTTGCACATTGCCTATCTCCTCTCCACTTGAAGTTTCAATTCTTGAAAAATGTTTTATTTAAACTTTTCCCCACAATATAAATTTTAAGGAAAAAGGGATCAACCAGAGAGAAGAGCCCATGTATGACAACAAAGATTCAGATCATTTCCCAAAAAAACCTTTCCATAAACAATCTGACCTAATCCCCAAACCAAATTTTCCATATACAGATGTTTGTTTTTAATGAAGTTTCAGGAAAAAAGTGTTAAGAGAGCATGTTCTGTTGCATTAATGATAATACCCAACCTGAGTCTGACTTGAAAGTTGCTAAATACTATTGATTTTTTTTTTTTTTTTTTTTTTGAGATGGAGTCTCACTCTATCATTCAGGCTGGAGTGCAGTGGCCAGATCTCAGCTCACTGCAACCTCTGCCTCCCACGTTCAAGCAAATTTGCCTCAGCCTCCCAAGTAGCTGGGATCACAGGCGTGCATCACCACGCCCGGCTAACGTTTGTATTTTTTAGTAGAGACAGGACTTCACCATGTTGGCCAGGCTGGTCTCAAACTCCTGACCTCAAGTGATCTGCCCGCCTTGGCCTCCTAAAGTGCTGAGATTGCAGGCATGAGCCACCGCACCTGGCCCTGAATTTTTAAAAGGTGCTGTTGAGGCATTTAACATTGAACCAGTACCTGGTAGTAAATTATATAAGGTTGTTATATACATTATAGATTTTTTAAAATGCTATGAAGAGGCATTTTCCCCCATTTTAAAGATGAGAAATCTAGGACTTACAGATGTTAAGTAACTTGCTCCAATATACAAAGCTGCTAGTGACAGGGATTCAAAGATTGCCTGATCCTGGAGTTGGTGTTCCTAACCTCTCCGTTGAGTTGCCATTGCAGCAGCCCCAAACTGCATGTAACTGTAGTCAGGATGCCAAAAACATTGCTTGCCCTCTTCATTTCTTGACTCCAGACCATGACTGAAAGGAAAGGAAAATAAAAAATTTTATCCTGAAAGATAATTGTGGCAAAAACAGTAAGCTTAATATTGGAGTTCTAGTAAAATTACCAGCTAACCAACCAAGCAACCTTGTGATTTTAGAAAATCATTTTGCCTCTGGGAAACTCAATGATACCTCTCATCTAGGATTGTGATGACTAAAAAAAACCAGGCATACTAAAAGCACTCTGCAAATTGTTCTGTCCTATAAAAATGTATATCATGATTATTGTTAGTAAGAGTTAGTACTATTTCTTTAAAGGAAAGTATGCCTTTCCTCTTTTCTGGAAAAATCTATAACTTTTTGGCTGAAGGAGGACCTGATGCTTATTAATACCTCTCCTCAGCTAAAGGTAAAAGGTCCAATAAAGCTGAGTGTATTTTGGTTCCATGCTATAAAATTAATCTTTACACATCACAATAACCTGGACAAGATAACTAATATCATATATTGGTACTATGAAGTTTCAGGCCAGCTCAGCATTCAGGGACTGCAGTGTTGTGTGGATAAAGACAGGAATTTAACTTAAATCAAGCTGCTGTAAATTCAGATTTGGAACTCAAATCCACAAATCTCTTATGATTCACCATAATAAACACACATTTCTAGTGATTACAGAAGTTCTAGGGACTAGGGCTCCATGAATAATTAAAACCTCATATTGAGATCAAGACTTCTTGAGTTTTTTTCAAAATTCTTATTTTCTTTTTTCATCACCTCAGAATGTGTACTTTCAAAGAAAAAAAGAGCATTGTATTCACTTTATAAGTCTTTGCTGATATTACACCTTTGGCTGAGAAACTTTACTTTGGTTTTCTTTTTCCAAGGAAAAGAAGAGTATTCATGGTTTGTCCTTCCTAAATCTCAGCTTGCCCTTCCACTCATTCATAATCTATTAGTTTACTAGGGCTGCCATACAAAGTACCACGGGCTGGGTGGCTTAAACAACAGAAATTTATTTTCTCAGTATTCTAGAAGCTAGAAATCTAAGATTAAATTGTTGGCAGGGTTAGTTTCCTCTGAGGCCTCTCTCTTCGGCTTGTGAATGGCTGTCTTGTCCCTGTGCCTTCAACACTGTCTTTCCTCTGTGTGTGTCTGTGTTCTAACCTCCTTTCCTTATAAAGATCCAGTTAAATTGGATTAGGGCCCATCCTGATGACCTGATTTTTATTTAATTGCTACTTTAAAGCCTTATCTCTAAATATAGTCACATTCTGAGGTATTGGAAATTAGGACTTTAACTTTATGAATTTGCAGGGGACACTATTCAGCCCATAACAAAGAAGAATAGAAACTATCTTTACTTACATTCAGTAACCTGCTTTTTTAAAAATTGTGCTTGAAAATTTCTACCTGGTGTACTCATTGGAAAGCTCAAGGCTTTGGAGGAAAAGAGCAAAGACAGTGCAACTCAGAGAAGTCATATAGTAACATTTGAATGAGGAGGGGCTAGGGAGCAAAATGTCATCTAAATTTTTTTTATTTTAGTAGCTTTTAGAGTACAAGTGTTTTTTTGTTACATGGATAAATTATATAGCAGTGAATTCTGAGATTTTAGTGCACCTGCCACCTGAGGAGTATACATTGCACCTAATGTGTAGTTTTTTTTTAACCCTATCCCCACCTCTCACCCTCCCTCTTCCGAGTTTCTGAAGTCCATTATATCACTCTGTATGCCTTTGCATACCACAGCTAATCTCCTACTTATAAGTGAGAACATACAGTTTTTGGTTTTCTATTCCTGTGTTCCTTCACTTAAAATAATGACCGCTAGCTCCATCTAAAGTTGCTGCCAAAGACACTATTTCATTCCTTTTAATGGCTGAGTAGTACTCCATGGTGCATATATACCACATTTTCTTTATCCACTCATTAGTAGATGAGTACTTACGTTGGTTCCACATCTTTGCAAATATGAATTGTGCTGCTATAAACATATGTGTGCAAGTGTCTTTTTCATATAATGACTTATTTTCCTTTGGATAGATACCCAGTAGCAGGATTGCTGGATCAAATGGTAGATCTACTTTTAGTTCTTTAAGCAATCTTCCACGGAGGTTGTTCTAATTTACATTTCTACCAGCAGTATGCAAGTGTTCCCTTTTCCCCACATCCATGCCAATATCTATTGTTTTTTTACTTTAATAATGGCCATTCTTGCAGGAATAAGATGCTATCTCATTGTAATTTTAATTTGCATTTCCCTGATGATTAGTGATGCTGAGCATTTTTTCATGTTTGTTGACCATTTGTACATTTTCTTTAGGAAACGTCTATTCATATCCCTTGCCCACTTTTTGATGGTGTTAGCAAATGTCATTTTGAGGCAAAACATTCAGGATAAAGGTATTCTTAAATTCTGAGCAATTACATGGCACTCTAAGAAATGAAGAAAGTTTCAAAAACTTTGATAGAAAAAGAACAAACTCTTGCTAGACTTTGTACTGACCTAATATATTAATAATGCTATTTATCGAGTTGTGGCTCTCCCTTAAACATAATGCAAAATTAATTATTTAAAGTAACCCAGGTTACAAAAGAAGTACAATACTTTTTAATGCTAAAGAAGAGGAACATAGATGTTGAAACATGTAAGATTTTAAGAGAGCAAAAGAATGCAAAATAGCCAGACCAGAAAAAAAAAAAAAATCATGTATTCAATATCAACAGAACATTTTAAAGAGAATGAAAAAATTTAATTCAGAAATTATGAAAAATTATCAAACTATGGTATCTTTTGATTAATGATTATATTTCACATCCATAAAAATTGTCAAATATTTGATGAGAAAAAATTGTTATGGACTAAAAGTAATATTTATCACCTACTAAATTAAGATTATCTAAATTCTATTACCTTATGCTGGTAATAGTGCAATGAGATGGGCCCTTTCCTTCACTTCTACCAGTTCACATCAATGGGAATTTAAATTGGTTCTATCTTCTCAAATGTATGAGAGGTTTAAAATATTCACACACTTTGAGAAAAAACACACAAATAAGGAAGACAAAGGACTCAAATGTTGCCACTACATAAAACTATTCAACCATAATGATAAACAATAAAAAAGAAAGAAAGAAAGGCTATACAAAAGAACCAAAAATAAAATAATAAAATGACAGGACAAGCCTTCATATATTAATAATTGTCTTTAATGTAAATGGATTAAACTATTCACTTAAAATATATAGACTTGCTCAATGGATTTTTTAAAAATGACCCAACTATATGCTGCCTACAAGAAATTCACCTGTAAATACACACATGAACTGAAAAATAAAGAGTTGGAAAAAATATTCCGTGCAAACAGAAACCAAAAATGAACAGGAGTAGCTATACTTACATCAGACAAAACAGACTTTAAATCAAAAACAGTAAAAAGATACAAAGAAGCTCATTATAGAATGACAAAGGGATCAATTCAGCAAGAAGACATCATAATTCTAAGCATATATTAACCCAACACCAGAGCACCCAGATATACAAAGTAAATATTATTAGACCAAAAGGGAAAGATAGATTCCAATATGACCATAGTTGGGGTCCTCAACACCCCACTCTCACCATTAGACAGATTGTCCAGACAGAAAATTATCAAGGAAATGTTGGATTTAAACTGCAATTAATAGCAAATGGACCTAAGAGACAGTTACAGAACATTTCATCCAACAGCTACAGAATACACACTCTTCTTATCACCACATGAAACATTCTTCAGGATAGACCATATGTTAGGACACAAAACCAGTCTCAACAAATTTTTTAATTGAAATTATATCAAGTGTTTTCTCAAACTACAGTGGAATGAATCTAGAAATAAATAACAAGAAAAACTTTAGAAACTGTAAAAATACATGGAAATTAAATAAGACATTCCTGAATGACCATTGGGTCAAGGAAGAAATTAAGGAGAAAATGTTTAAAAAAAATGTCTTGGAGCAAATAAACACCAAAATGCAACACATCAAAACCTATCAGACATAGCAAATGCAGTGCTAAGAGAGAAGTATATAGCAATAAACACCTTCATAAAAAAGTTGAAAGATTTCAAATAGTCTAATGATGTACCTTAAAAAACTAGAAAAGCAAGAACAAGCTAAATCTGAAATTAGTGGAAGGAAAGAAATAATAAAGTTCAGAGAAGAGCTAAACCAAATATAAACTAAGAAGAATACAAGAGATCAACAAAATAAGTTGGTTTTTTAAAAGGTAAACAAAATTGGTAAACCACTAGATAGACTAGCCAAGAAAAAGAGAAGACGCAAATAACTAAATCAGAATGAAAAAAGAATACATTACAACTGATACCACAGAAATGCAAAAGATCATCAGAGACTATTATGAGCAACTATACACTAACAAACTGGAAAATCAAGAGGAATTGGATAAATTCCTGGACACATACAACCTACCAAGATTGAAACAAGAAGAAATAGAAAAACTGAAAAGACCAATAACAAGTGGTAAGATTGAATCAGTAATTAAATGTCTCCCAATAAGAAAAGCCTAGAACCAGATAGCTTTATTACAGAATTCTACCAAACTTACAAAGAAGAACTAACACAACTTCTTCTCAAAATATTTTTTTAAATTGGGGAGAAAATAATTCTCCCTAACTCATTATAAGAGGCTAGCATCATCCTGAACCCAAAACTAAATAAGGACACACACACAAAAAAGAAAATTACACATCAATATGCCCGATGAACATAGATGCAAAAGTTCTTACCAAAATACTAGCAAACTGAATTCAACAGCACATTTTAAAAAACCATGATTAAGCAGGATTTATTCTAGGGATAGAAAAATGGTTCAACATAGGCAAATCAATAAATGTGACACATTGCATCAACAGAATGAAGGACAAAAACCATATGAACACCTCAATAGATGCAGAAAAAGCATTTGATAAAATTCAGTATCTCCTCATGATAAAAACTCTCAACAAACTAGGCATAGAAGAAACACAACTCGACATAATAAAGACCATATAAAACAAACCCAAAGCTAACATTATTCTAAATGGGGAAAAGCCAAAACCCTTTCCTCTAAGAGCTAGAACAAGACAAGGATGCCCAGTTTCAGCATTTCTATTCAACATAGTACTGGAAGTTTTAGCTAGAGCAATCAGGCAAGAAAAAGAAAGGCATTCAAATTGGAAAAGAGAAATTCAAAATGTCCCTCTCTGAAGCTGACATGACCTTATACATATGAAAACCTAAAGACTTCTTTAAAAAACTCTTAGATCTCATAAATAAATTAGTAAAAATTTGCAGAATGCAAAATCAACATACAAAACTCAGTAGAGTTTTTGTACACAACTAACGAACTAGCTGAGAAAGAAATCAAGGAGGAGCCAAGATGGCTGAATAGGAACAGCTCCAGTCTACAGCTCCCAGCGTGAGCGACACAGAAGACGGGTGATTTCTGCATTTCCATCTGAGGTACCGGGTTCATCTCACTAGGGAGTGCCAGACAGTGGGCGCAGGTCAGTCGGTGCGCGCACCGTGTGCGAGCCCAAGCAGGGTGAGGCATTGCCTCACTTGGGAAGCACAAGGGGTCAGGGAGTTCCCTTTCCAAGTCAAAGAAAGGGGTGACGGACGGCACCTGGAAAATGGGGTCACTCCCACCGGAATATTGCGCTTTTCGGACCGGCTTAAAAAACGGCGCACCACGAGATTATAACCCCCACCTGGCTCGGAGGCTCCTACGCCCACGGAGTCTCGCTGATTTCTAGCACAGCAGTCTGAGATCAAACTGCAAGGCGGCAGCAAGGCTGGGGGAGGGGCGCCCGCCATTGCCCAGGCTTGCTTAGGTAAACAAAGCAGCCGGGAAGCTCCAACTGGGTGGAGCCCACCACAGCTCAAGGAGGCCTGCCTGCCTCTGTAGGCTCCACCTCTGGGGGCAGGGCACAGACAAACAAAAAGACAGCAGTAACCTCTGCAGACTTAAATGCCCCTGTCTGACAGCTTTGAAGAGAGCAGTGGTTCTCCCAGCACGCAGCTGGAGATCTGAGAACGGGCAGACTGCCTCCTCAAGTGGGTCCCTGACCCCTGACCCCCGAGCAGCCTAACTGGGAGGCACCCCCCAGCAGGGGCACACTGACACCTCACACGGCAGGGTATTCCAACAGACCTGCAGCTGAGGGTCCTGTCTGTTAGAAGGAAAACTAACAAACAGAAAGGACATCCACACCAAAAACCCATCTGTACATCACCATCATCAAAGACCAAAAGTAGATAAAACCACAAAGATGGGGAAAAAACAGAACAGAAAACCAGGGAACTCTAAAACGCAGAGCGCCTCTCCTCCTCCAAAGGAACTCAGTTCCTCACCAGCAACAGAACAAAGCTGGATGGAGAATGACTTTGACAAGCTGAGAGAAGAAGGCTTCAGATGATCAAATTACTCTGAGCTACGGGAGGACATTCAAACCAAAGGCAAAGAAGTTGAAAACTTTGAAAAAAATTTAGAAGAATGTATAACTAGAATAACCAATACAGAGAAGTGCTTAAAGGAGCTGATGGAGCTGAAAACCAAGGCTTGAGAACTAAGTGAAGAATGCAGAAGCCTCAGGAGCCAATGCGATCAACTGGAAGAAAGGGTATCAGCGATGGAAGATGAAATGAATGAAATGAAGCAAGAAGGGAAGTTTAGAGAAAAAAGAATAAAAAGAAATGAGCAAAGCCTCCAAGAAATATGGGACTATGTGAAAAGACCAAATCTACGTCTGATTGGTGTACCTGAAAGTGATGGGGAGAATGGAACCAAGTTGGAAAACACTCTGCAGGATGTTATCCAGGAGAACTTCCCCAATCTAGCAAGGCAGGCCAACGTTCAGATTCAGGAAACACAGAGAACGCCACAAAGATACTCCTCGAGAAGAGCAACTCCAAGACATATAATTGTCAGATTCACCAAAGTTGAAATGAAGGAAAAAATGTTAAGGGCAGCCAGAGAGAAAGGTCGGGTTACCCTCAAAGGGAAGCCCATCAGACTAACAGCAGATGTCTCGGCAGAAACCCTACAAGCCAGAAGAGAGTGGGGGCCAATATTCAACATTCTTAAAGAAAAGAATTTTCAACCCAGAATTTCATATCCAGCCAAACTAAGCTTCATAAGCGAAGGAGAAATAAAATACTTTACAGACAAGCAAATGCTGAGAGATTTTGTCACCACCAAGCCTGCCCTCAAAGAGCTCCTGAAGGAAGAGCTAAACGTGGAAAGGAACAACCGGTACCAGCCACTGCAAAATCATGCCAAAATGTAAAGACCATCGAGACTAGGAAGAAACTGCATCAACTAACGAGCAAAATCACCAGCTAACATCATAATGACAGGATCGAATTCACACATAACAATATTAACTTTAAATGTAAATGGACTAAATGCTCCAATTAAAAGACACAGACTGGCAAATTGGATAAAGAGTCAAGACCCATCAGTGTGCTGTATTCAGGAAACCCATCTCACGTGCAGAGACACACATAGGCTCAAAATGAAAGGATGGAGGAAGATCTACCAAGCAAATGGAAAACAAAAAAAGGCAGGGGTTGCAATCCTAGTCTCTGATAAAACAGACTTTAAACCAACAAAGATCAAAAGAGACAAAGAAGGCCATTACATAATGGTAAAGGGATCAATTCAACAAGAAGAGCTAACTATCCTAAATATATATGCACCCAATACAGGAGCACCAAGATTCATAAAGCAAGTCCTGAATGACCTACAAAGAGACTTAGACTCCCACACATTAATAATGGGAGACTTTAACACCCCACTGTCAACATTAGACAGATCAACAAGACAGAAAGTCAACAAGAATACCCAGGAATTGAACTCAGCTCTGCACCAAGTGGACCTAATAGACATCTACAGAACTCTCCACCCCAAATCAACAGAATATACATTTTTTTCAGCAACACACCACACCTATTCCAAAATTGACCACATACTTGGAAGTAAAGGTCTCCTCAGCAAATGTAAAAGAACAGAGATTATAACAAACTATCTCTCAGACCACAGTGCTATCAAACTAGAACTCGGGATTAAGAATCTCACTCAAAACTGCTCAACTACATGGAAACTGAACAACCTGCTCCTGAATGACTACTGGATACATAACGAAATGAAGGCAGAAATAAAGATGTTCTTTGAAACCAACGAGAACAAAGACACAACATACCAGAATCTCTGGGACGCATTCAAAGCAGTGTGTAGAGGGAAATTTATAGCACTAAATGCCAACAAGAGAAAGCAGGAAAGATCCAAAATTGACACCCTAACATCACAATTAAAATAACTAGAAAAGCAAGAGCAAACACATTCAAAAGCTAGCAGAAGGCAAGAAATAACTAAAATCAGAGCAGAACTGAAGGAAATAGAGACACAAAAAACCCTTCAAAAAATTAATGAATCCAGGAGCTGGCTTTTTGAAAGGATCAACAAAATTGATAGACCGCTAGCAAGACTAATAAAGAAAAAAGAGAGAAGAATCAAATAGACACAATAAAAAATGATAAAGGGGATATCACCACTGATCCCACAGAAATACAAACTACCATCAGAGAATACTACAAACACCTCTACGCAAATAAACTAGAAAATCTAGAAGAAATGGATAAATTCCTTGACACATACACTCTCCCAAGACTAAACCAGGAAGAAGTTGAATCTCTGAATAGACCAATAACAGGAGCTGAAATTGTGGCAATAATCAATAGTTTACCAACCAAAAAGAGTCCAGGACCAGATGGATTCACAGCCGGATTCTACCAGAGGTAAAAGGAGGAACTGGTACCATTCCTTCTGAAACTATTCCAATCAATAGAAAAAGAGGGAATCCTCCCTAACTCATTTTATGAGGCTAGCTAGCATCATTCTGATACCAAAGCCGGGCAGAGACACAACCAAAAAAGAGAATTTTAGACCAATATCCTTGATGAACATTGATGCAAAAATCCTCAATAAAATACTGGCAAAACGAATCCAGCAGCACATCAAAAAGCTTATCCACCATGATCAAGTGGGCTTCATCCCTGGGATGCAAGGCTGGTTCAATTGACGCAAATCAATAAATGTAATCCAGCATATAAACAGAGCCAAAGACAAAAACCACATGATTATCTCAATAGATGCAGAAAAAGCCTTTGACAAAATTCAACAACCCTTCATGCTAAAAATTCTCAATAAATTAGGTATTGATGGGACGCATCTCAAAATAATAAGAGCTATCTATGAAAAACCCACAGCCAATATCATACTGAATGGGCAAAAACTGGAAGCATTCCCTTTGAAAACTGGCACAAGACAGGGTTGCCCTCTCTCACCACTCCTATTCAACATAGTGTTGGAAGTTCTGGCCAGGGCAATTAGGCAGGAGAAGGAAATAAAGGGTATTCAATTAGGAAAAGAGGAAGTCAAATTCTCCCTGTTTGCAGACGACATGATTGTATATCTAGAAAACCCCATTGTCTCAGCCCAAAAGCTCCTTAAGCTGATAAGCAACTTCAGCAAAGTCTCGGGATACAAAATCAATGTACAAAAATCACAAGCATTCTTATACACCAATAACAGACAAACAGAGAGCCAAATCATGAGTGAACTCCCATTCACAATTGCTTCAACGAGAATAAAATACCTAGGAATCCAACTTACAAGGGATGTGAAGGACCTCTTCAAGGAGAACTACAAACCACTGCTCAAGGAAATAAAAGAGGATACAAACAAATGGAAGAACATTCCATGCTCATGGGTAGGAAGAATCAATATCATGAAAATGGCCATACTGCCCAAGGTAATTTACAGATTCAATGCCATCCCCATCAAGCTACCAATGACTTTCTTCACAGAATTGGAAAAAACTACTTTAAAGTTCATATGGAACCAAAAAAGAGCCCGCATCGCCAAGGCAATCCTAAGCCAAGAGAACAAAGCTGGAGGCAACACACTACCTGACTTCAAACTATACTACAAGGCTACAGTAACCAAAACAGCATGGTACTGGTACCAAAACAGAGATATAGATCAATGGAACAGAACAGAGCCCTCAGAAATAACGCCGCATATCTACAACTATCTGATCTTTGACAAACCTGAGAAAAACAAGCAATGGGGAAAGGATTCCCTATTTAATAAATGGTGCTGGGAAAACTGGCTAGCCGTATGTAGAAAGCTGAAACTGGATCCCTTCCTTACACCTTATACAAAAATCAATTCAAGATGGATTAAAGACTTAAACGTTAGACCTAAAACCATAAAAACCCTAGAAGAAAACCTAGGCATTACCATTCAGGACATAGGCATGGGCAAGGACTTCATGTCCAAAACAACAAAAGCAATGGCAACAAAAGACAAAATTGACAAATGGGATCTAATTAAACTCAAGAGCTTCTGCACAGCAAAAGAAACTACCATCAGAGTGAACAGGCAACCTACAAAATGGGAGAAAATTTTCACAACCTACTCATCTGACAAAGGGCTAATATCCAGAATCTACAATGAACTCACACAAATTTACAAGAAAAAAACAAACAACCCCATCAAAAAGTGGGCAAAGGACATGAACAGACACTTCTCAAAAGAAGACATTTATGCAGCCAAAAAACACATGAAAAAATGCTCATCATCACTGGCCATCAGAGAAATGCAAATCAAAACCACAATGAGATACCATCTCGCACCAGTTAGAATGGCAATCATTAAAAAGTCAGGAAACAACAGGTGCTGGAGAGGATGTGGAGAAATAGGAACACTTTTACACTGTTGGTGGGACTGTAAACTAGTTCAACCATTGTGGAAGTCAGTGTGGTGATTCCTCAGGGATCTAGAACTAGAAATACCATTTGACCCAGCAATCCCATTACTGGGTATATACCCAAAGGACTATAAATCATGCTGCTATAAAGACACATGCACACGTATGTTTATTGTGGCATTATTCACAATAGCAAAGACTTGGAACCAACCCAAATGTCCAACAATGATAGACTGGATTAAGAAAATGTGGCACATATACACCATGGAATACTATGCAGCCATAAAAAATGATGAGTTCATGTCCTTTGTAGGGACATGGATGAAACTGGAAATCATCATTCTCAGTAAACTATCGCAAGAACAAAAAACCAAACACCGCATATTCTCACTCATAGGTGGTAATTGAACAATGAGATCACATGGACACAGGAAGGGGAATATCACACTCTGGGGACTGTGGTGGGGTGGGGGGAGGGGGGAGGGATAGCATTGGGAGAGATACCTAATGCTAGATGACGAGTTAGTGGGTGCAGCGCACCAGCATGGCACATGTATACATATGTAACTAACCTGCACAATGTGCACATGTACCCTAAAACTTAAAGTATAATAAAAAAAAAAGGAAATCAAGAAGGCAACCCCATTTACAATAGCTACAGAAAAATAAAATAAAATACCTAGGAATAAATTTAGCCAAGGAGGTGAAAGACCTCTACAAGCAAAACCAAACAACACTGATGAAAGAAATTAAAGAGGACACAAACAAATGGAAAGACATTCCCTACTAATGGATTGGAAGGATTAATATTGTCAAAATGACTATTCTATCCAAAGCAATCTACAGATTCAATACAATCCCTATCAAAATACCAGTGTCATTTTTCACAGAAATTTTAAAAATCCTAAAATTTGTATGGAGCCATAAAAGAGCCTGAATAGCCAAAGCAATCCTAAGCAAAAAGAATAAAGCTGGAAGCATCACACTACCTGACTTCACAATATATTACAAGGCTATAGTAACCAAAGAGCATGGTATCTGTATAAAAAAAAAGACACATTGAAGAATGAAACAGAATAAAAGTCCCAGAAGGAAACCCATATCCATGTATCTATAGCTAACTGATTTTTGACAAAGGCATCAGGAACATACATCAGGGAAAAGACACTCTCTTAATAAATGGTGCTAGGAAAATTATCTATATACAGAAAAGTGAAATTGGACCCCTATCTCAGCATATACAAAAATTAATTCATGATGGATTAAAGACTTAAATGTTAGACCCAAAAGTATAAAACTACTAGAAGAAAACATAGCAGAAACACTTCACAACATTGGTCTAGTCAAAGACATTGTGACTAAAACCTCAAAAGCATAGGCATTAAAAACAAAAATAGACAAATGGAACTATATTAAATTAAAAAATTTATGCACAGCAAAGGAAACAACAATAGAGTAAAAGACATGTTCAATGGAAGAAGATATTTGCAAACTATTAATACAAGAAGAGATGAATATCCAAAATATACAAAGAACTCAAACAACAGCAAAATAAAATACAATAATTTCATTAAAAAGTGGTCAAAGGACATGAACATATCTCAAGGGAATACATACAAATGTTAAATAGATACATGAAAAATGCTCAACATCACAAAGCATCAGGAAAATGCAAACCAAAACAATAATGAACTATTACCCCAGTGAGAATGCACATCATTAAAAAAACAAAAAGTAATAAATGCTGGTAAAGATGGAATGAAAAGGGAAATCTTATACAATGGGAATGTAAATTAGCACAGCCACTATGGAACACAGCATAGAAATTTCTCAAAAAAACTAAACTAGAACTACCGTATGATCTAGCAATAACATTACTGGGTATTTATCCAAAGGAAAGGAAATCAGTACATCGAAGTAATACTTGCATCCTTGTGTTTATTGCAGCACTATTCACAATAGCAAAGACATGAAATAAACCTGTATCCATTAATGAATACACGAATGAAATGAAGTATATATACACAAGAAAAGAATACTATTTGGCCATAAAAATGAATGAAATCATGTCATTTGCAGCAACATTGATGGAACTGGAAGTCATTATATTAAATAAAATAAGCCAGACACAGAAAGACAAATATCACATGTTCTCACTCATATGTGGGAGCTAAGAAAGTGAATCTCATGAAAGTACAGAATAGAATTACACATAACAGAAGCTGGGAATGGCATGTATGTTGGAAAGCCGGCGGGATGAAGCGAGGTGGATTAATAGGTACCAACATACAGTTAGCCAGAGTAAGCTCTAATGTTCAGCAGCAGAGTAGGGTGACTATATTTAGCAAAGATGTATTGCATATTTCAAAATAACTAGAAGAAAGGAACTGAAATGTTCTCAATACATAGAAATGATGGATACTCGAGGTTATGGATACCCTAAAAATCCTGACTTGATCATTACACATTCTATAATGTAACAAAGTATTGCATGTATCTCATAATAAATATATACAAATATCAATAGAAATAAATAAAATGTTCACATAGTTTGATCTAGTAATTCAATTTCTATAAATACATCTTAAAGAACTAATCACAAATCCTACCAAATATTTGAATAGGAAAATATTTCATTGTGAAAATGCATGTAAGATTAAACAAAAGAATAGTAATTGTGAATTTTATAGGCTGTTAATTATATCTCAGTAAAGCTGTTAATTAAAAAGTAGGAATCAAAATTGTCTATTCAGTAGGATAGCAACTACGTAAAATTGCCATGGAAGGGGGTCAAAGTAACTGCTAAGAATGAGTATAGTGGTTATCTCTGAGCTATTGGCTTACAATTGACTGTTGAATTCTTACTATCAGCTGCCTAGATGTAAATTTCTTTTTACTTATCTTGCTTGGACTTTGCTGGGCCACTTTCATTTATGGACAAACAACCAGCATAATTTTTGAAAAGTTACTAGACATTTTGGTCCATGTAGTGCTTTGATACCACACTATCTTCCCTCTGGAATGCCAATGAAATATTAGAGTTTCTTGTGGTATCCTCTATGACGTTTACTTTTTCTTCATTTTAGCTATCCTCTTGCCTTTCCATGCTTCATTGTGTATATTTTCTTCCAGTTACACTAATTCATTCTTTGGAATTGATTAATCTGCTATTAACCCAATCCACTGAGATCATAATTTAGGTTATTTGTCAATTTTAGAATTTCCACTTGGTTCTTTTTCTAAACTGCTATAAGTTTGTTTTTTTGTTTATAGTTCACTGCGAAATTTTCAGTTATGTCATTTATCTATTTGAGCTTAGTAAGCACAAGTTATTTTAAAGTCACCGTCTGATAATTCCAGTATCTGAACTATCTCTGTGTCTGATTGTCTTTTTTCTAAGGATTCTTGCTTGTATTTACTTATCTCCTTTTTTGCCTGATTATCCTTGATTGTGAGCTGGTCATTGCATTTTTAAAATTGCTTATACAAATACTCTGAGGTTTAGGATAATGCTAACTTTTTTCAGAGAGGATTGTCATTTGTTCCTGTAATGTATATGCGGGCATTAGCAATCTCAGTTCATATAAATCCAATTTCAGGCACAGATATTTTTCTAAGCCAATAGGATAATTTGATCTGAGTCAACATCCATGTGAATGTTGATTTCCTTCCAGTTCACCCTTACTATTAGTATACAGCCCTTTGGGTTCTAACCCAAGGATAGAGTTTACCTAGACCCATCCTTCTTAGCCATGTATTCCATTTTATGTGGTCTTAATCCCACAAGGCTGTCAAAAACAATTTCAGTCTCTTAGCCACTTTTATTAGATTGACAGTCACCCTTAGGGGAAAGCTACCCAAAAGCTGAGCTCACTTTTTTAGATATCGGTCCCCTCCTAGATATGAGATCTATAATCCTTCACTGCTATGTCAGCTCTGCAATGCCTTTCAGTAAGATTTTTATCCAACTTGTCTATATATCCCCATTGAAAAAGTTTGTGCATCTGACCTGCGTCATCATTACAGTTACAATTTAAAATTTTTTCTTATTTCTAAATTTCCAACTATGAACATGAATTACTTGTATCATCAGGCCATGAAAAGTTTGTTTTGTTGTTTTAAGTAGTATGTGAGCCTTTATATGATAGTAAATTAAAAATATTTTCTGTGCATTTATAGGTGACAGACCATGCTTTTATACTGAGTAACACTTAGTTGAGAAAAAAGTATGCAGTGGGCTCTTGTTGCAAGAAAAATGTAATCTGTGACTCATCTCTATATTCACTCCTCCAGAGTAGTTCAGCTGTATGAAATGCTGAGTTATTGATCATTAAAGAACTATTCTCTGTCTACTCCATTTTATTCTCTATTCTTCAGCCAGAGTAAATATTCTAAAGTTAAAATCTAGGCCAGACGCAGTGGCTCACACCTGTAATCCCAACACTTTAGGAGGCTGAGGCAGGCAGATCATGAGGTCAGGATTTTGAGACCAGCCTGGCCAACATGGTTAAAAAATGTCTCTACTAAAAATACAAAAATTAGCCTGGCATGGTGGCTCACACCTGTAGTCCCAGCTACTTGGAAGACTGAGGCAGAAGAATTGCTTGAACCCGGGAGGTGGAAATTGCAGTGTGCCAAGATCGCACCACTGCACTCCAGCCTGGGCAACAGAATGAGGCTCCACCTCAGGGGAAAAAAAAAAAAAAAATATATATATATATATACACACACACACACACACACACACGCACACAAATTAGCTCGGCGTGGTGGCACCCACCTGTAATCCCAGCTATTCTGGAGGCTGAGGCACAAGAATTGCTTGTGCTGGGGGTACGGAGGTTGCCGTGAGCCAAGATCATGCCACTGCACTCCAGCCTGGGTGACAAGGTGAGACTCCGTCTCAAAAAATAAAAAATAAGTAAAAATAAAGTTAAAATTAAAATCTAATTGGGTCATTGTCCTGCCTGAAACCCTACAAAGTTTTCCTGTCACTCTCAGTGAAAAAATCCAAATTTCTGAGTGCGGCATATATGGCCACTCTGCTCTCACTCTCCTCTCACTCTGTGTCAGTTCTCTTTGTTGAGGAACTATAAGTCTACCCAACTTGTTACTCTCTCTTGTCTCTAGTCCTTTCCCCACTCTTGCTAGCAGGAAGGTGGCTGCAATAGGAACAGCCCTCTTGGACCTAGAGGTGAAAGGCACTTGATGAGAAAGCTGCATCACGCTAAGCCTCTTACCTTAAGATTTTCATGGCAGTAAATCCACTTTAGCTAGTTTAAGCCACTGTATTTGTAGTCTCTTTGTTACAAATCTAAGCCTAAATCCTAATTAATGCCAATTTTTTCCATACCTTCTCCTTCCTCAAGTCCCCAATGAAATGGTCTTTTTCCCACGAGTCTGTCTCTATCTCCTCATAACAGGCTTAGGTGCCCCTCCTCAGTAACTTCATCCCATGCCATAGCACTGTATGGATATTACCTGCTTCCTTGTCCATCTCCAACACTAACCTGAAATCTCTGAGGTCAGAGATTGTGCCTTATTCATCTTTGCATCCCAGTGCCAATCACTGGGTCTGGCACATAGTTGACATTCAATAAATGTTTTGAATTAATGTAAGAACAAGAAAGGATTGCAATGCCTAACTCCACATTATAAGGAGTCTATGAAAAGTGATTGTAGGATAAGCATTTTTCATAATAGGAAAATTCCTATTTTTATTTGTAAACCAATGTAGATGGAGTTTTGGGGTGAATTATACTTCCTCGATCACAGTTTAAAACTAGATAACATGTATCATAAATGACACAGTTTCACATACAACATGACAGTTTCTCCATTCTTCCTTTCATCACACATCCAAATATCTCAGCCCCTGGAACAAACTGAGATTTACTACCATTAGATTCATTTCTTTGAGCTAAGTAAGACAGGTTTCTCTGAAAAGATTGCCAAAACGCAAGTATGTGAAAAGGCAGCAAACTTCTGGCACACCTATGCACTTCCATAGGGATTAAATTATTAGAATGAATAGAAGATACAAGGAACATAAGGAAATGAGACCAAGAACTGAGCAAAGTTCATAGGAAGAAGAGATTAAGAAAAGTGACATTGAAGTGGGAAGGTCTGCACCATATCTGCACTAAGGTCTGCACTAAAAGTTTGAAGAGGGCACAGAGCATCAGGTAACACCACCGCCTAAAACGAACAATAAAGTACCTAGAAGAGAGGCTGGGAGCTAATAAACCAATTTGGTATGTTGTATTATTTGCTCTGATAGAGAATATAATGCATGCAGGTTTCTGCTGTTGCTTTCCTTGGGTGGAGTTACCCAAGAGGCAGTGGTTTGTTTATATTCACACAGCCAGCATTCCATGTTTCTTTGGAAAAGTAGTTTGTCTTGAAAGAGAATCTTTATTTTCATGTCCAAGTAGTTATATTCTAATGGCTTTTTGGGATCAAAGGGAGAAATCACTCAAGTCCTTAGTTAAGGAGAGCAAACCAGGTGCATGTTATGATATATTCTAAGGAATCCTCTGGGGACATCTCCTGATTCTGCTTTCCTATGAATGCGTTTTCCACAAGAACAGAAACTCATGCCAAACTTGATGCATTTTTATGACCAGAATTGAAAGAAGAGTGCCAAATGTCCTTCATTCTTTTATACTGGGTCATGACTGTAATCTCATGGCCCTGCTCAGATGTCAACCTATTGACTGGAGGGACAGGTAGATGATACAAGAGTTCGATCTTATTCCATCTCCAATTTATTCACCACAAAGTGAAGAGGGTTGTCTCCATCATAACACAAGGCATGCACCTTTCATTTTCCATTTGACTGCTAGTGTGTGCAGTCAGATGGACAAGGTCGACCTCCCCACACTTTAATCTCTTTGTCAAGTTGTTTCCAGAGCTTTGGGTTCTGTGGTGTGGATGCATACAGGCAAATACACACACACACGTGCGCACATGCACACACACACACCAACAACAATCACAAGCATACTCAGACACTAGGTATGCTATTTGTCAGATGCAAGTCTCCAGAGACTTAAAGCAAACAGCATCTCCAAAGCCTCGCTTATTCTGAACAGTTCGCTAAGAAGAAATTTACCTAAATAAATTTGTTATTGATGCCAGACATTACATATCAGATTTTACTTTTCTGAGAACAAGAGATTATGTAAGTCTACAGAACTGATTAATATTTTCTTATTTCATGTACACTGACACAGATGTATTGTATTTCTTTGGTGTAAATGGCTACAGCACCAGTGTTCTTAACTTTTCGCTGTCTCAAAACCACTTTAGATCCATGGATACCTCTTCTGAAAAATATACACATACCTAAACAATGTTTTATATTATATCAGGGAATTTATTGACTCCAATAATCTCTATTCTACTAGTAATCACATATTTTCCAAAGATTGTAATATCACTCTAGCTCAAATTCTGTTAACAATGACTTTCTAGTTCAGTTTGAGTTACTTCTTTTATCTGAGATTTTACTATTCTGGATATCATTTGAAATAATTCAGAAATGACCACTTTCTTGATATAAAAATGCTTAGCGTATAATTGTGAATAGATGAATAGAACAATGATTGAAAGGATAAATAACATATCTTAATCTGTTTTATCATTTGTTACTAGATCACTGTCTGAATATAAATTTAACTATGAGGAGAATAACCACTTTTTCCAAGTATGTTTTTGTGTTCTGAGTCAATGAGTTTCTTAGAGTGCTCAGGAAACTGCTAGAATCTTTTCCTGAAAGGTTCTGATCCATTGGAAACATTTCAGATGCCTGGGCTATAGACCAAGGACCTTCTATCACACGACTCATGTCCTTTTTCGGGAACACAGCATGAAGAGAGACCACCACATTGCTAAACCCAGGGTCCCGAGCTTTCCATTGCTCAGACATGCAAGTCTCACCTCATATCAAGAAACAAGACAAAAATACATGATGTCACATCATGAGCAAAATGTCATTATGCCCTCAAGATTGTTGAAAACAAAAAGGTTACCTAACCAAGATGTCTGGGCCTTCTTCCTTATTAACTGGACCAAGATTTACAGAGCACCTCTTCAGCTTTAGGTCCTAAACTAGAGTCTCTACGGCACATGCACTTCTCAGATCCAAGCAGAATTCCCCGGTGAGCTCAGTCTGGTTGACATTAGATGGAAATTGCAGCCAAGTGAATTCTCCATATTGTAACCCTATTATCTCTCTCTCCCTTCATCTATCTCGCCTGTGCTGTGCATGGTTGGGCCTTATGGAAAGTTATCATTTGGATGCAAAACAATTATACTAAAACAGTTAGCCAGAGTGGTCTGGACACACAGATTTATCTTCCCTCTTCTTCAGTGAAGAACATCTATCTTCCATGACCTCTTGATTACTGAAGCCTTCAGAATATATTCTTTGGTCTGTGACACTGTGCATGGTGCTGGGCTGAGCATTAAATATCACCCTCTATGATTAATTGGAAGTTAATTAAATCTATCACTGAAACAATGGGAAGGCAATGAGCTATGTAATCATTGCAATAGTAAATGAAATGATGTACAGGTCTCTCCATCTCGCTTATTGACAATGATGGAGGGGTGGCCGGCCTCGGATGCCTGGCGAGGCTTGCTGCCTGACCTCACAGGCCAGCTCTAACTTTTCACAGAGCCCAGGGACAAGGCAACTAGAAGTGTATTCCGACCATTTCTGTTGACTGAGGGAGCCTCTCTTCCAGAGGCCTCTGAAGTGTGCTTTACAAGGTTTTTCTGTCTTGAATAATCAGTAGGTTAAGGTATGGGAATGGCTGAATGAACCATGAAAATGCTGGTTGTTACCATTTCTAAGCAGCTCCAGTGAAGGCCTGGCTTCAAATGTCAGGAGCCCTCTGAACTCAATGAATAGAATGCATGTCTATTGAATATTTAATATTTTTGCCTTTATTTAAAACTTCAATATTTTCGAAGTTTTTACTTAGACCTAATGACATTTGGCCCTCATAAACCCTCATTCAATGGGAGAACTGAGAGAGGGGCTAAGTAGCCTACCTGAATTTACATAGATTATTAGTGACAGAGGTAAGTAAAGCTAATTAGAAACTAAAATGGCTAAGCAGACATAGCTAAATCCTCGGTTCCTGTTTCCAAATGTAATTTAATTTGGAGATGTGAGGACATAGAAACCCATGAGGTTTGGAATGGTAATCCTAAATTGCCAGAGTGCCAAGAATCGCCAGGATCCAGATTGGGGTACCCCAACATTGGGTGTAAATATTAATTTGGATCACAGGGTAGCTATCTAGATATTAATTTGTCTTAGTCTTCTAGGGCTACGGCAACAATATTTCACAGATTGGCTGGTTTAAACAACAGAAATTTATTTTCTCACAGTTCTGGAGGCTGAAAGTCCAAGATCAGGGTGCCAGAATGGTTGAGTTTTGGTGAGGGCTCTCTTCCTGGCTTGCAGACAGCCACCTTCTCACTGTGTCCTCACATGGTTCAGCATTCTCTTTTCATAAATCCACAGTCTATCAGTCTAGGGTCCCATCCTTATGACCTCATTTAAACTTAGTTACCTCCTAAAGACTCTTATCTCCAGATATAGTCATATTGCAGGTCAGGGCTTCAACATATGAATTTGGTGGAAGTGGGGGATATAATTCAGTGCATAGAATAATTCAAAAGCAGATCTTTAAAAATTGTCACTCCATAAGAGTTAGAAATTAGGGTAAAATTTTTATTTATATATATATATATTTTTTAATTATACTTTAAGTTCTAGGGTACGTGTGCACACCATGCAGGTTTGTTACATATGTATACATGTGCCATGTTGGTGTGCTGCACCCAGTAACTCGTCATTTACATTAAGTATGTTTCCTAATGCTATCTCTCCCCCCTCCCCCCAACCCACAACAGGACCCGGTGTATGATGTTCCCTTTCCTGTGTCCAAGTGTTCTCATTGTTCAATTCCCACCTATGAGTGAGAACATGCGGTGTTTGGTTTTTTGTCATTGTGATAGTTTGCTGAGAATGATGGTTCCAGCTTCATCCATGTCCCTACAAAGGACATGAACGCATCATATTTTATGGCTGCAGAGTATTCCATGGTGTATATGTGCCACATTTTCTTAATCCAGTCTGTCATTGTTGGACATTTGGGTTGGTTCCAAGTCTTTGCTATTATGAGTAGTGCTGCAATAAACATACATATGCATGTGTCTTTATAGCAGCATGATTTATAATCCTTTGGGTATATACCCAGTAATGGGATGGCTGGGTCAAATGGTATTTCTAGTGCTAGATCCCTGAAGAATCGCCACACTGTCTTCCACAATGGTTGAACTAGTTTACAGTCCCACCAACAGTGTAAAAGTGTTCCTATTTCTCCACATCCTCTCCAGCACCTGCTGTTTCCTGACAAACCTGACAAAAACAAGAAATCAGAAAAGGATTCCCTATTTAACAAATGGTGCTGGGAAAACTGGCTAGCCACATGTAGAAAGCTGAAACTGGATCCCTTCCTTACACCTTATACAAAAATTAATTCAAGATGGATTAAAGACTTAAATGCTATACCTAAAACCATAAAAACCCTAGAAGAAAACCTAGGCAATACCATTCAGGACTTAGGCATGGGCAAGGACTTCATGTCTAAAACACCAAAAGCAATGGCAACAAAAGCCAAAGTTGACAAATGGGATCTAATTAAACTAAAGAGCTTCTGCACAGCAAAAGAAACTATGATCAAGTGAACAGGCAACCTACAGAATGGGAGAAAAATTTTGCAATCTACTCATCTGACAAAGGGCTAATATCTAGAATCTACAACGAACTCAAACAAATTTACAAGAAAAAAACAAACAACCCCATCAAAAAGTGGGCAAAGGATATGAACAGACACTTCTCAAAAGAAGACATTTATGCAGCCAACAGACACATGAAAAAATGCTCATCATCACTGGCCATCAGAGAAATGCAAATCAAAACCACAATGAGATACCATCTCACACCAGTTAGAATGGTGATCATTAAGAAATTAGGTAAAATTTTTAAACTCTAGTCATCCAGTATTTTTAATTTTCATTTTTTCTAGATGTCACTGAGAAGAAGAGCATTTTCAGATCTAAGAATTAACTTAACATCCATCTTCCCCCCATTTATCTTCTATCTCCTCCCCTTTCTGAGGGGATAAGCCCCAAGTTCTGATGGCACGTCTCTTCTGTTTGAAGATGCTTGGCCCTGATGAGAAGCCTTTTCTTACCTTCTCAGATATTCACTGGACAAATGCGTGTACTGAGTGTTGGGGAGAGAAGGTAGCTATCAATGTGTCATGGCTGCTCATGTTCCCAAGGGACCTTTAAAAAGTCTAATGCACTCTTTGGGGATCAGTTGTAAACAGATTAATTAAATAAACATTCCTTGTCACAATCTTGAAGTTTAATACTGCTTAGGGACAAGATATTTAGGTGAACTTCTTATCTCTGGTGACCAGAGGAGATATTCATTCCTCAAAGGCATTTTTCTTTCTCTTCCTCTCCCTCCTGCTGACACACAATCAGGCCCACCTGCCCAACATCACAAACTAAATATCAAGGGCTTTAGGAAATATCACAGTGGATCTGACTTAAAAATTTCGTCCTGCTCCAGTTCCTCTCAGGAGACTTCTGGCTCATATATAGTGCAGTGACTATGAAGTATACGAACACCCAACTCAGAGGCTGTTCAAAAAGCAATTCTGGAGAAAAAATGGATGAACACACTCTGCCTCAGGGCCTTTGCACTTGTTCGCTGTGCACAGAGCACTCTTCCCTTAAATACCTGTATATCTGGTGTCCCTACCTCCTCAGGTCTTTGAGTTAGGTTTTCTCTGATGTAGAGAAAACCTTCTATCAGCCTGTCACTTTCTAACATCTTTCTCTATTTTTTCTTCAGAATACTTACTAGTCAGTACTTAACACACTCATTTATTTTTCATTCTCCTTGTCTAGAATGTCAATTCCATGAAGTCGGGGGTGTTGTCTGTTCTCATCTATATTCCTAAACTTTGCACACTACATAGCACATAATAGGTGCTTTGATAAATGAATGAATGAATGAATGAATGAATGAGCAGATTTAATGGGGCAGCACCAAGACTAAGCCAGCTATGGAAGCAAAGAACATGACAGAAGTATCTGAGTTTGTCTAGCAAGATGTATACTTCAGAATACTAAATCTCCCTGGACCACAGTTTATTTATCTATAGAAGATGCAGTTTGAAACACCTGTTTGCTTCCAGCTTTAACATTCTATGAGATATGCTTTGAATACTTTGAATTTAAAGATGATTATACAACATGCTGCCAATTTCAGGAGTCCTGATACTGAGTCAGCCAGAAGGGGCGAGGAAGGGATAGATGGAATAGCTATATTATGACTTTATTTTGAGTTCCAGAGTTCTTAAAGTTGAAGGACTAACTTCAAGCTACCCCAATTCCCTCAATACAATGGTAACTAACATTTGATGTTGCTACGTTTCTTCTGAGCCTAATCCTGGGTTTTCCCCCATCCACTGTCTTAGTCTTTTATAAAAACAACAACAACAACAAAAATTATTACATCATAAATTAAGCAAATAAGTTCAATCTAAACTTCTATTTGCAAAAAATGAATAGGATTAAAGAGAGAAAATAAATCTGAATAAAGAACTTCCCTGCAAATACTTTACATGGTAAAAAGGGCATTAAAGAGATAAATATGGGTGGCAGATTTTTAGCTCAAAGAATACCTTGGGCTAATACAAAAGCATAATTATGCTGCTGATGTCACTTCTGGTCATAATGACTTGAAGTATAGCCAAGAGAATGTTATTAAAATGATTGGAAAAGTTTTTATTTACTTATTTAAGCTTATTGACTTAAAGACCCCGGGCAAATGTACAAAATACTCATTTGAATTGCAGATTGAATCCATCAGCTAAAGTTACATATTTTTTAAGTCAAATTTGAACTCCCAAGCCATTAATTCATAGTCTTCTGCAGAGTATATGAATTAGCCTATCACAAAGATAATAATATAACATTATTGAACAACATAAAATAACTTCCTTTTATTTTCCCATAATGTCTGAGTTCCAGGTTTCCTGGCTCTCTCATAATGCCTGATGGTGCCAGAGGGCAAATACGTGTGAATTGCAGTTGCAATATGAAAAGTGACTCTGGAAAAGGCGTGTTGGGACTTTCAAGCTGATTCCTGTCGATAGCCTCTATATCAAACTGCCTCAGAGTTTAGATCAAGCAATGCTTTTCGTAGATGCCGGCATTGTCAGGTCAACACAAGATCTAAACACTGAGATGCATCTACTCTGTCTCTTAAATCAGCCCCAATAACAATAATCCTCCAAGGCAGGGTGGTGGTGAGGTGGGAACTGATCTGATTTTGCTTCATCATAAGTGTGTAGGATCCTGACTGCCTTTTACAGCAGAGAAGTGAAATACATGAGGATTGGTTCTATGACCATCCTAGCTATATAGAAAGTTACCACTTCCACTTTTGGTTCTATGATGAAAGTCAAATGGGTTTGAGCTGACAAACACTGGTGGAGAAGTTATTATGTAAGAAAGCATGACTACTTCAAAGATACCTAGAAGGAAAATAAAGATGTTTGCCTATTTCCAAGAGAAATCTTGCAGCCCTGAAGGGGTGAAGCTGACTTTGGTAGTCTCTATACTCAGTTCAGTTGAAACAAAATTGTCAAGCTATTTGACATTGTGCAGCCTCTGAATTAAATAAAGGGGGGAGGATTATGGTTCTCATGTTCAGTAGCCTAAGTAAGCATGGTATATTCAGAGTAGAAATCCAAAACAGTTTGAATTATCAGTTTTACAATGTATTTGTTTTGTGATCTCTATCCTTTGTCTAGGATTGAGTCCTTTATGCCAGAATAACCAATTTAAAAGCAGAAATTTGAGTTAAGCAACATGTTTTTCTGTTTGATGCCAAACAATTAATGTGACTTGATATTTGACTGAATTGACACAGGCATTTAATGTCATATTGACATAGTCATTATCCCCTGTTCTGATTTATCTATTAGGAAAACAAAGATAACAAATGATGTCCAAGCTTTTGCTCAGCTACGTAACATCTATGAGCTCTACAATCGCTTTTAACATTCATCCTTTTCACAGGCATTAATTTTCTCAGAGATTGAAAGGCAACAGAAAGTGGTTAAGAGAAAGGGCTGTGAAGTCAGCCAGACCTGAATTGAGATAGTGGCTCTGCCACTAATTAGATATAGTGAGCAAGCTACTTACCCTATTGGAGCCTCAGTTTTCTCATTTCTAATATGGAATGATAATATAGCTGCATCATAGGATTGTGGTGAGAAATAAATAAAATAATGCACAGAAGGCACTTATTATGGTACTAGGAACATAATGAAGGTTAACTATTTTAATTAAATAAAAGTTATTTAAAAATCACAAAATCGGCTGAGCATGGTGGGTCACGACTGTAATCCCAGCACTTTGAGAGGCTGAGGTGGGCAGATCACCTGGGGTCAGGAGTTCGAGACAAGCCTGGCCAAACCCAGTCTCCACTAAAAATACAAAAATTAGCTGGGCATGGTTGTGGTTGCCTGTAATCCCAGTTACTCAGGAGGCTGAGACAGGAGAATCACTTGAACCCAGGAGGCAGAGGGTGCAATGAGCCGAGATGCACCACTGCACTCCAGCCTGGATGACAGAGCAAGACTCTGTCTCAAAAAAAAAAAAAAAAATCACAAAATCAATGCAAAAAATATCATCTTCAAGTATTAGTTAATAAGTTTACATTTTAATAAAAAATGTTCAAAGAAATTTACGCTGAATATATAAGTAGACTCTCATGGAATTTTAATATTTTCATGAAATGAAAGACTGAAGGTCTATAAAATTTGCCTTCTGTGAAAACATCAGAAAGTTTCCCCAGCCTGCCACACTTCAATCTCAGGAAAAAATTTAAATTCTCAACTATGGCAAGTACTGAAGGGGTAAATATTCTTACTCCCAGGGAAGCTAAGACCATTAAAATTACTTCATTCAGGACTCTCCTCCCAAGAGCTAACTGAGCAGCACTTCTAGGTCCTGCCAACAGAATGACGCCAGGCTGATGTCGCAACACAATAACTCTAGGTTCATGAAGTGGGTAGTCCTAGTTTTGTGCTGTTTTGTTTTCTTAGGTTGTTTTGCTTTCCAGTGTGATGAGAAAATGCGGATCAAATATGATCCTGCTGGGAACTGTTAAAGCTCTCCACTGTCCAAGTTAGGAAGGCTCCTGGAATATGCTGTCTCCCGCCAAGCCCACCGGCTTTTAACCCATTTGTGTCAGAAGTTACAGGTTGGTGGTGCTCCAAAGTAGGCTCAGTGGGCAAGAGGGAGAGCTGGGTCATAGCCCTCATAGGGACTCTCTTCCTGTGGATGTTTTCTGCAATGCTTGGAGTCAGAAAAGAGAATATTTGAGTCGACAAACCCCTGGCTTTATGGGGCATATAGACAAATTCTAACCCTCTCACTCTGCTTCTTAAACAAAGCAGTCAACTGTGATACAGACTCTCCTTACAGTGTGGTGAGTCACAAGGTTAGAGTCAGAAAACCTAGGTTCAAATCCTGGCTCTGGCCAATCTCCAGCTATAAACACTAGGTATATGATTTAAGTCTCTCTCTGAGCCTCCGTTTCCTGAGATAACACATATAAGTGTTTAACATAGTATATAGTTATAGCAAACATTAAAGAAATATTTGTCTCTGTTACCATTACTATTACTACTATTCCATCTAAGAAGAAAAAAAATAATTTTTTCTGGCCCATTCACAAAGATAGTGCCAAGCAAGCTTTCATGTGGCTTATTTTTTTTTTCAGGTCGGTCTTAATTTAAAAGGTTCTCATCATGGAGATAGTACTCAGAGACTGGCATAAGGCAGAACCACAGAGATTTACTCTCAAATACATCTTTATAGCTTCATCACCATAATACCTAGGCATTCATGTGGACAACATCATTTCATCATAAATGAGAAGGTCGTCCTATTGAACTGTAATCCATTCATTGATTTATGGTCCCAAGTTCCTCCAAGGATTTTCACAAATGCCTGTGATGATTCCTAGTGCTGGACTTTGCATTTGGATCTGTGATTTAGATGACAGATGCGTGAAATCATATGTAGCCAGACAAATCCCTGGTGATAACACATTTGAGGGGGCTCAAGAAGTGATGGATTAAGGCCCAATCAACCAGATCAGCTAATCTGAGCCCTCTTCAGTGACGTTGGCCCTGATGGTTTAAAGGGGCACCCCAAACAAATTACTTTCCAGAAATAATACTTTCTGTTCTGCATCTCGCCCTATCATAACTTCCTTTTCCACAATAAACCAGGACACCATTAAAGAAGCCCTGTCTAATTCTAGAGAATATATTGTTATGTCTGGGATTAACATTTGCCACAGTTGACTGGTTAACATTACTTTTAAAATCTCATATTCCAAGTAGTAATTGGATTATTAATATGGTCGATTTGACTGGCAGTAACCATTTGGAAAGTCTGACAATGTAGAATTTACAAAGCCAAAGACTTGATAACAGCTTCTTAGATGCTAACGAATTCACTTCAAAGAAACTCAGCAGCTCACAGTCAGAAGATACCAAAAATCAAGGCTTCTTCCAGGAAGAAAGTATAGTAACACAAGAATTAGACTCTGAAGATTTACCTAAGGGTAAACCTTTTGATGCCATGTATAGCATTACTTTCAAAATAGATTATCTCACATACATTTTTATGGAAACAGGAAGGAAGCAAGAAAAATCATGCTTTAGCATAGGTGTAAAGGAATATAACACAAGCCAAAGAGCTATAATAAAAGAAAAAGCAAAGAATGTTCTGAACTTCTCTACAAAGATCTCTCTAATGCTTTGCAACTCCTGCACCACCTCAGTGGTGCTCCCATTTAATTTCATCAAAGGAAGGCTTGAATGCATTACTATTCTGTCCCTTTTCTGAGCCTCCCTTTATTTTATTTTATTTTACTTTCATACAATATTGTTAATAATTTTCTCCTTTTTATAATTGAAATTTTATTTTAGATTAGAGGGTATATGTGCATGTTTGTTACATGGATATATTGCATGACATTGAGGTTTGGGGTACAAATGATTCTATCACCCAGATAGTGAGCATACTTAATAGGTAGTTTCAGCCTTTGTCCTCCTCCCTCTCTCCTCACTCTAGTAGTCCCTAATGTCTATCAATCCCATCATTATGTCCAAGTGTACCCAATGCTTAGTTTCCACTTATAAATAAGAACATGTGGTATTTGGTTTTCCATTCCCGTATTAATTCACTTAGGATAATGGCCTCCAGCTGCATCCATGTTGCTGCAAAGGACATAATTTTGTTCTTTTTTACAGCTGCATAGTATTCCATGGTAGTCCATGTGGTACATATACCACATTTCTTCTTTATCCAATCCACTGCTGATGGGCAATTAGGTTGATTCCATGTCTTTGCTATTGTGAATACTGTTGCAATGAACCAATGACTACATGTATATTTTTGGCAGAATGATTTATATTCCTTTGGATATATACCCAGTAATGAGATTGCTCTGTTGAATGGTAGTTCTGCTTTAAGTTTTTTGATGAATCTCCAAACTGCTTTCCACAGTGGTTGAACCAATTTGCATTCCCACCAACAGTGTATAAGTGTTCCCTTTTCTCCACAGACTTTTTAATAATAGCCATTCTGACTGGTGTGAGATGATATCTCACTGTGGTTTTGATTTGCATTTATCTGATAATTAGTGATGTTGAGCATTTTTTCATATGTTTCTTGACCTCTTGTATGTCCTCTTTTGAGAAGTGTCTGCTCATGTCTTTTGCCCACTTTTCAATGAAGTTATTTGGTTTTTGTTTGTTGAATTGTTTAAGTTCCTTATAGATGCTGGATATTAGACCTTTGTTGGATGCATAGTTTATGAATATTTTCTTCCTTCCTATAGGTTCTCTGTTTACTCTGTTGATAGCTTCTTTTACTGTACAAAAGCTCTTTAGTGTAAGTAGGTCCCACTCGTCAATTTTTATTTTTGTTGCAATTGCTTTTGAGGACTTAGTCATAAATTCTTTCCTAGGCCAATGTCCACAATGGTGTTTCCTAGGTTTTCTTCTTCTAGGATTCTTAAGAGTTTGAGGTCTTGCATTTAAATCTTTAATCCATCTTGAGTTTAATCCATTTGCACACCCAATACTTTTATAACCTTTGAATAATTTCATAATAAAACTCACCTACCTATGTTTTATACAGAAAAAATGTGTCTGTGTGTGTGTATGTGTTTTTGTATATGGTGAAAAGTAGGAGTTCAATTTCATTCTTCTGCATATGGTTAGTTAGTTATCCCAGCATCATTTATTGAATAGGGAGTCCTTTCCCCGTTTCTTATTTTTGTCAAATATCAGATGACTGTAGGTGTGTGAGAGCTGCTTTTTAAAGTCTTGCTCTCAGCATCAACTTTAAACAAGTTTTTTTTTCTTTTCCATTATTGAAGTGCTATCGAAAATAGCTTCTGGCACTTACCAATGTATGCCATAGGTGGGCTTCTAAGCATGCTTTGGATAATCGAGAACTTATTTGTAATAAGAATCTAACCCCCCTTTAAAAACAGTCCCGCCTTATAGTGAATTATTTTCTCTGCTGAAAAGCACTAAAACAAGCTTTTAGCAGGATGTTTCCAACAGCAGAACCTAACTTTAATAGCTGCATTGTACCCCTCTTTCCTCATCCCATTCCTGGTACCAAAAATAAAAAACAGTCAATAGTGTAGCTGTGAAACTGAATGCTGGCCCACATACCCAAAAGCAGTCAGAATAAACTATACAGAAATCAGGCAGTGGCAAGGAGAACATAATGTACTCTCACTCCCCTTTATCCTTTTGCAGGAACCTCTGCGGGCTTCTTCGAGTTTGTAGGAAAGCAATATATATCTGTATTCTAATGATAAGACAATACTAAAAATAAAAAAGCATTGGCTGGAAGCAAGAGTAGAAATATGAAGGAAAAAAAGTAAAATTTACAAATCAAGTAGCATTGTTTCAGATTAACTTTTTTAATAGCATGACCTAATCCAGGGGTCTGCAAACTACAGCCCAAAGACCAAATCCAGTCTGCCACCTCTTCAGCGACCATTGGTTTACTTATTGTCTACAGCTGCTTTTGTCCTACAACTGCAGAATTGAGAAGTTATAACAGATACAATATGGCACACAAAGCCTGAAGTACTTACTATCTGGCCCTTTATAGAAAGAGTCTGTCAACCTGTTATCTAAACTTCAGAAGAGGACTCAGAGTATTTAGAAATTAACTTACACTTGCACACCCAATACTTTTATAGCCTTTGAATAATTTCATAATAAAACTCACCTACCTATGTTTCACATGGAAAAAATGTGTCTGTGTGTGTGTGTTGTGTATATGAACACAAATTTGAGGGATGCCTTAAAATAAAATATAAAAGACATTTGCTATGAGACTTTCCTGAATAATTGGAGGTTTGGCATATGCAGAGTCAGCTGTAGTATAATTGAAAGATTCAACTCAAAACCAAGAGATTAAAAAAATAGAGATGAGACACAGTTAGACCCCCACAGACAAGTCACTTAGCCCCCACTTCCTCACCTCTAGGATGGGAACCCTGATGCCTCCCGTTCAAGCTTGTGTAAATCAAATGAAATTATCTATGTGCAAATCCTTTGTTAAGCCATAAATTACACAAATATATGTTGTGGTTATTAGGCAGCATCTTGAATGCTTTCCATAAAAATGCCATTCTGAGCAAGAATATCACAGTCAACTGAGGCATGTGGTTGCCATCCTCCCCACTCCACATGAACTCTCCATGTTACATCAAAGCACCATTGCAAAGAAAGCATCATTTAGAATTAAGAAGTCTGACACCAAGAGTCAGCACATAAAATGCTCTGGTTCAGGTCTACATCTGGAGTAATTCCAAAATAATCATCATAGAAGTTTGCCATTTTCTCCTACCTATCATTTGTGGTTCATCTGATGGCATTTCTATACCTGACATTTCCTGCCCTAGCTGTTTGCAGCTTCTTTCATACCTGTCTTCCTTCACTCCTCTCTCTCTCTCTGTTTGCAGCTTCGTTCATACCTGTCTTCCTTCACTCCTCTCTCTCTTTCTCTACTGTCCCCTTTCATCCCCACCCCAGGCCCCTTTAATCCTCTTCTCATTTCTAATGCTGAAGGCCCTTTGAGAAAGGGGGAGGGGAGGAAAACAAAAGGTTAATTTTCTCCAGCCTGCCCAGGCCAACTTAATGTAACAGAAGGCAGCAAATTGTATTGATTTAGTGACATGCAACTGTCCAGAAAGAGCTATTTATACATTATTCAGGACAAACACTGTCATAATGGACAAACAGCAGCAGCATCTGGGATGTTAATGTCTACAAATAAGATTATTCTTTGAAAGGATTAGGATGAAGCATTTTGTGTAATTAGATTTCTCCGTTTCAGGAATGAATTGCCTTTTAGCAGTAAAAGCTGTCACTGAGGGAGCCATTAGCTCCTTATAACTGAATTAAATGCATAATTAGTGACATGATCACATTAGGATTTGTTTCATTTTTAACTAATCGGGGTGGGGGGAGGGGCCGAGGGAGAGTTGGGGAGCAGAGGCGGTGCCATTTCCAGGTCACTGCGGCCTTCCTCAGCTGGGATAGGCCTCAGCTGGCGTGCTGAAGTTGGTAAAAGTCAGGCGTGTGTGAATCAGAGCCCGGGCCTCGCCACGGCGACGGCCAGGCTATTCATCACTGGGTGGTGGGTGACAGTGACTGATGGGCTAGGCCCGGGCCTGGCACTTCACCAGTGCAAGAATCATACGAGCCAGGGAGCAGAAAGACAGCTGGAGCGCTGTGTCAAGTGGTGGAGAGACCAGAGCTATTAATAATGTGTGCCACATGATCTCAGCCTCAAGAAAACAATGATTTAGACATTGGTGAGAATAAAGATTTTACATTTAGTCCGGGGGTGACTCTTCTCCTTGGCACTTGTAGAATAAATCGCTATGCAATCAGCATGTATGAAAATCAAGCAGTGCATATATTAGAGCCTAGCTCATGAGGAAGGGGAGCATGGGTGGGGATTTTTAAATCCTTGCATTGACTACATGTGCTGTTCATCCTATCCTCCTGACATTTCTGCAAATGCCTTGAGGTAGAAGGAAAGAATAAGAAAACAATGAGGAGGGCTTTTGCATTCATTCACACACTTGATCATTCAGCACTTACCTGTTCAAGATCCACTCCCCTTCTTGGGTGCCAAAAGGTAAATGAAGAGGTATAGAGCATTGTCTTTACCTTCAAGTAGCTTATCAGAACTGAAAGGCAACCAGGACACCAACTGTGTTATTGCATCCACTGACATCTGCATTACTTTGAGGGGCCTTTAATTTTGTTTCGTGGTCTGAAAGTTAGACAAAGAAACAGGACCTTATGAAACAGGAGCAGGTCCTAAAGGAAGCCAGGTGAGAATGCTTCCATTCAAATTACTCCAAGTTAAGCAAGACCTATACCAGCAGAGGCAGCACTAGTGAATGGTAACTTGGGAGGTGACTGGGTAATTGAGCTTTGTGGAAAAGGAGTTTCCTCCTGGCTTGGCCTAAACATTCTGTTACTACGGAAACTAGCAGGTTTTGGAGATTAGGTTCTAGATGGTTTGAAGTTTCCAGCAATAGTGATGGGGACTTCTCTACAAAACAGAGCAATGAAGAGCAATTAAAATGTTCCACTCCCTGAAAGATTCACCCCTTCTTCTCCACCATAGGATCCTACAGAATAAAATAATTTAGAGATTCATGTTGATCAGGGCTTACTGGCCCAGGATCATCTTTTGATAGAGTGCAGCTTAAAGTCAGGAAATAAATTAGAATCTAATGATTAGATGAATACCCTTGCAGACTTAAAATCTTAGGACTCTATGATTAAGATGTGTTGTTACAGAAAGAAAGATTGTCATGATTGACAAAGACAGTCAAGAGAAAATGTCACTGGTAGCCATGATGACTTGGGAAGATGTTCTTTGTGCCCTCCTAAGGGATGGCTTGAGTTCTATTAAACTCTTGTTAACCTTTGCTGTACCACAATCAGACCATATCAAATTCTCTTAACTAATGGCTCAGCAAAAATCAACAATAGAAAAGACAGTAGAAATTCTTATTCCTTAAAACTGCCATTTGTATGGAACTTAAACTTTTAAAAGAGACTTTTGTGCATTGCTTGAGAAAATATAGCACTTTCATAATGTTATGCCAGGAAAATGTATGTAAAAATTCACATATAACCTTTATATATTGGTGAGCATTAAGATTTCCTATTCTTTGAGGCAAATATTGACCTTGACTTCACCTCGGTCAATATTTACCTCTCAGGTCAATAGATCTTGATGTTCACCTCAACAGAAGTCAATATCTACTTATTATCTCATTTCTATCTGTCAGGTACCAGTGTGTAATCAGTAATGTGAATTTTCTTCCCTTATGCATTTCCTGAGGTTAAGATGAGATTAATTTTGGACCTTATACTTTCCGTTTGTTAAATACCTTCTCCCCACAGGAGCTAAAGAGAGTTTCATACAGAATGTTAATTATATATTATCATCTTATTCCATTCCCTCCACTCATCCCAAATTAAGCTAACACATGGGTAACATAAAGTGTTTTAAAATGAAAACTTCATTTATTTATTCAATAAATATTTATTGTCCAGCATATGTCTGGCACCAGGCTACATGCTGGGGAGGTAGCAGAGATATAGGTAGACATGGTCCCTGCCCTCAGGAAACTTGCCGTCAAGCACAGCACTTCCCAAATGCCAAGACGGTTGCAATTGCATCACTAGAAGAGTGTTTGGGTTTTTTGTGTGGGAGGGGTTGGGGTGGAGGGTGTAATTTTTATAAAGAGCACCCAAATACTCAATGGTTAGCTGGTGAGTAGGCTCTTGGGGAGGGTAAGCCCTAATTTGTTGCATTTGCTGACTTCTATGGTGCATTTATGCTCAGCATGGCCAATTTTAAGCTGCCAATGTGAAGTCACTGACAAGGAGTTGGGAAGAGATGCAGAAAATAATGATCCAATTCATGCCAGCTATAGCCCAGCACTGCTACCCTTTACCTAGGTTTACCTACTGTTGGCATTTTATCCTATTTGATTTATTACTTGTGCTTCATTCCCCTTTACTTTTCTTCCTTTTCCTTTTTTCTTCTCTTTTCCTTTCTCCTTTTTCTGCATAGTTTTTTGGGGGGAGGGATTTTTTAAGCATACAGATTCCAAAACCCCAGATTAGTAATCTACAGTGAGATTCAGGATGTGTTAAAAATTTTACAAGTGCTATTGATGCATCACCAAACTAAGGAACACTGGCTTAGTCTTGTAGACCTCATATGGCATTACCAAGATTTTGAAATTCAGAGCCTCATAGACTCCACCTTGATCTTTATCTAAGGAAGAACCACATGACCTCCCCTGGAATCTTTCATCAGTGCCATGGCATTCAGCCTTCTAATCCACCTGGTTTTAATGTTTGGTTTGCATGACCTATTCCTCACCTAGCCATTTTCTGTTAAATCTGACTTGCACTTTTTCCTCTTCACTTTGGGCAGGTAGAAAAATTACTTCAAGAGGTTTTGTCTACACTTGGTGTAATAAGAATCTAACCATAAACTGCAAGTGGTACATAAGGAAATAAAATATGTTACGCCATTTAAATGATCAAGAAATGCCTTTCAGATCATTGATAAAAACTTTAGATGAACTGACATGTTTAATGCATGACAATTTGCTTTATCATGGGACTGTTTTTGTAGCTTATGGATAAATTTAGCTGTTAAACTCTGTCTTAGTTTATATAGTTTTAGTGACAGATCTGTTTATAAGACAGCTTAAACTATAACTTTTGGTTGAAAAAAAAATCAACAGTAGACTTTCTCCATGAGAGCACTTAACCCTATCCTAGTGATGTATATACTGCTATGATGAAGCCCCTGGAACATGAAGCAATGATGATCTATAAGCATTTTTACCCTGCTAGGTAGACACATCCTTCAAATGCCAGAACTACACCATAATGGGTACTTAAACTACCTTGCAGGGATACCTAGGAGAAGCACAGTTTTGAGAAAGAA
The DNA here is from genome assembly GCF_000001405.40 of Homo sapiens. Lineage (NCBI taxonomy): Eukaryota > Metazoa > Chordata > Mammalia > Primates > Hominidae > Homo > Homo sapiens. Next base: position 84,328,407 of record NC_000004.12, read on the forward strand.
CAGAGCTTTATTACTCCAAAAGACTTGGTCCGGGAATCTACTTAGAAGCTATGTCACCTCAAACAAGTTACTTAACCTATTTAAATTCCCATTTCTTCATCAACAACATGGGACTAATAATATACACCTTATGTTTTTGTTGTAAATATTAAGTGACATATCAAAGAAGAGCATGAGTAGAAAGGGAGTCACTGCACCAAAATGTCACAGTTTGTATTTGGCAAAATAGTTTCATCTCTTGGATAAAATGTGTTGAAAAGTTATCACAGTGACTTATAATTGGAAAACTATAGAAAATAGAACTCAAACTCTTAAGAAAAGTAATGAACTCAATTTGTTCACTTTCAAAAACCAGGAAGATAAATATTTTCCCTGGATAAAGATTGGCTTTAAGAACACTTAAATCTCTAGGAAACAACCCCCCAAAATTTTCTCAAGTGGCTAGACTAAGAATAATCAGTTTGAAAACCAATTGACTGAAGAGATATCAAGTCTTTTTCACTCTGGCACTTCCCAAGAGGAAGGGCTAACATAAAAATGCAATATCTATGAATGAAATTTAGGTTCATTTTAAAACACTATAATATTACTTATACTTTCCAGAAGTAGTCTAATATGTATGTGTATTCACTGTCATGTTTGTTTAATGTTCACTATTAAGCTCCAAGCCAAATTCTGCCAAGAACCTCTCAAAAACCCACAACTCTCAGAGATGTCTCTTCCACATGCCTTGAGAAAACTCTTTCTGCAAACCCTCAACAACTGGATCAGCTGACACTTTTACAAAAATTATTTCAGCCCCATAGACTGATCTGATCATGACTTAGGTGAATTGTCTCCAATCAGGGAAGACTCAGGTTTTGTAGGCACTTCAGCAAACGAACTTTTTTTCCTTCCTGGCCTGCATCATTTACCTGTAGGGGTAAATAACACCTGCCATAGAATTTACCAGCTGCTTTTCACTGTCTTATTACTTTATTTTCCATCTAAGATGTACAATATAGAATTCAGTCAAAAGAAAAACAGCTTCCAGTGGCAATGATACTCATTTCCAATAGATCTGTTCAGTCTGACACGTTAAAATGGCGATCATTTCAGTTTTAAACTGACTGTGACAAAAATCAATAGATCTCTTTCACCTCTGAAAAACTGGGTTCAGATCTGAATTTGCTCTCAAGTGAAATCAATTTTGTGGCCTCTTAACCCAGTGTCTGGGAACCACTGGTCCCCATCACACAATCACCCTGTTGCTTTTATTCAGCCTGGTTACTTTTATTCCCGAGAGTCGAGGGATCATAGGTGACAGAAAAGCCAAGATGGGGTTGAGAATGAAAGTTGACTTAGGGGAAATCTGACAACCACCACAGGTGACAGTATTTCTGGGGGGTTTTGATGGGAAGAGGGAGAAGGACAATAGTGTCCATAACTTGATGTCAGAATTCATATCTTTATAGACAGTTTTCCAGTTCACTGCTAATTCTGGGTATGTTGCCCGTTTCCTTTCTCTTTTGAAATTAAAATGAAATTTATACTTAAAATTCACAAAAAAGTAAAACTAGGTATTGAAAAGTAAAAATTTTCAAGATCTAGCTATATTATTTGAAATGTTAACTCTTAGAGAACCAAAAAATTAAAACATACCCCAAATCCAAATTTCAGCCAGGTTTTTGTGTGATAAAATGTTCTGACCTGGTTCCTTTGTTGCTGATATGCAATTTTTCAGAAAAGATGCAAAAAATATGTATATGTATACATAAAGAGAGAGCAAGTCAGATAATTCCTTTCTGTTAATGAAGTTATCAGGCACTATCATCAATGATATCTTACCTAGCCAATATCTATTTTTTCTTTACTCTTCTAAGTGTATAATTCAATGATTTTTAGTAAATTTAGGCAACTTACTAAATTGTATAATCATCACGAAAATCCAGCTTTAAAACATTCTGATCATCCCCAAAAGATCCCTCATACCAGTATGTAGTCAATACCCATTCTCACTCCCAGCACCAGGTAATCAATAATCTACTTTCTGTCATTGCCTTTTCTAGGTATTTCATACAAATAGAATCATACAATATGTGCTTTTTCATGTCTGACTTCTTCCTCAGAGCATAGTATTTTTGAAATTTATCTATGTCACTGCATGTATCAATATTTGGCTCCTCTTTATTGCTAAATAACTACTTGTGTACCACTTTTGCTTATGCATTCACCAGTTGAACATTTGGATTCTTTCCAAATGGGCTATTATAAATAATGCTGCTATGAATATTCATGTAAAAGTCTTTATGTGGATATACGTTTTCAAAAATTTCTCTTGGGTAGATACCTAACAATAGAATTGTGGATCATATGAAAAATTTATGTTTAAATTTTCAAGAAACCATCCAACTGTTTTCCAAAGTGGCTGTGCCATTATAAATTTCCACCAGCAATGTAGAAAGTTCCAATTTCTCCACATCCTCACCAACACTTGTTATTATCTCTCTTTTTAATTATAGTCATTCTGGTGGATGTGAAGTAGTATCTCATTATAGTTTTAATTTGCATTTCTATAATGACTACAGATGTTAAGCATCTTTTCATATGCTTATTGGCATTTGTATACTTTTTTAGTGAAATAGCTATTCTAATATTTTGCTTCTTTTTTGTCTTCTGATTATTGTTGTAAGAGCAATTTGTGTGCTCTAGATATGAATGTCCTTTATCAAATTAATGCTTTGCAAAAATTTTTTCCTAGTTTGTGTTGTCTTTGCATTTTCTTAGTGGTTCCCTTTTGAAGCACAAAAGATTTTGATAATGATTAAATCCAATGTATCAATTATTATCTTCTATGAATTATACTTTGATGCTGTATCTAAGAACTCTTTGCCTAACCCAAGATCATGAAGATTTTCCACTATGTCTTCATTATAAGTTTTATAGTTTTATTTCATACATTTAAGTTTATGATCCAGTTTGAGTTGATTTTTTGGTATGGTACATTGAACTTATGATTCTAAATTCATCTTTTTGCATGTAGATATCCAATTATTTCACAGTCATTTGTTGAAAGACTATCCTTTCCTCCACTAACTTGGCCTGACTCCTTTGTCACAAATCAATTTACCATTAATGTAACAGTTTATTTCTAGACTGTCAAATCTGTTCTATAGATCTATAGGTCTATACTCATGCCAATACCACACTATTTTGGTTACTATACAGTAAACTTTGAAATTGGGAAGTGTAAAATCTTCCAACTTTGTTTTTTTTCCAAATTATTTTGGCTTTTCTGGGTCTTTGTACTTCAAATAAATTTTAGAATCAACTTGTCAATTTCTGTAAAAAGACCTGATAAGATTTTGATAGCCACTGCACTGAATTTATAGATCAATGAAAGAAGAATTACCTTATTAACAATATTGAGTTTTCCTATCCATAAACATAGAATAACTCATCATTTATTCAGTTCTTTTTAAATTTGTTCAATGTTTTCTAGTTTTCAGTGTACACATCTTGTAGTTTTTGAATTTAATTTAGCTTTATTTTATTCTTTTTAATATTATTTTTGATGGAATTGTTTCCTTAATTTCATTTTTGGAGGGTTCATTGCTACTACATAAAATTACAACTGATTTTTCTGTATTGACATTATATCCAGTAGTCTTTCTGAACTCATTTATTAGTTGTAGTAGCTTCTGAGGAGTCTCAATTCAGGCCAAAATCCTATGTATGATCCCTCAAGCCTGACTATAAGCAATTACAAGACTGCCTGGCAGACATCATGAAGGGAAGCTTCCCTTCCCATTCCAGACTTGGTGCACAGCCAATGCATTGCAGTTTTCTAAATCTCACAGTCAAGGACTCAATTCCCCTAAGGTGGACCAGCCATGCTTATATGTATATCTGAATTCCTGACCAAGTCGTCTCAATTCAAAGGCTTTCTTATCAGGTGCCTTGGAGAAAAATGGAGCACTAGGAGCCAGTGCCTTTTTTTGCCTCTTGCTTGCTCTCTCACCATTGTTATCTGTTTGTCACATTGTCCTAATTGATCACCTCCACCTGGTTGCTAGGTTCTTTGAGGATTTCACAGGATTTTCAAAATACAGGATCATTCATTTCTGAATAAAGACAGCTTTACTTCTTTCTTTCCAATTGAGGTGCCTTTTGTAGCTTTTTCTTGTCTGATTTAACTATACAATTTTGAGTAGAATTGGTGAGATCAGACATGCTGATCTTGTTTCTGATCTTAGGGGGAAAGCATTTAGTCTTTCACCATTAAGTATGATGTTAACTGTGGGCTTTTCATGAATTCTCTTTATCAGATTGAGGAAGTTCCCTTCTATTCCTAGTTTCTTGCAAGTTTTTATTATGAATGGGTGCTTATTTTGTGAAATTATTTTTGGGTACCTATTTGGATAATTGTGTCTCTTTTGTCCATTATTCTATTAATATGGTATATTACACAAGGTGATTTTTATTATTTATTTAATTATTTATTTATTTTGAGATGGATTCTTGTTCTGTTGCCAAGGCTGGAGTGCAATGGCATGATCTTGGCTCACTGCAACCTTTGCCTCCTGGATTCAAGCAATTCTCATGCCTCAGTCACCCAAGTAGCTGGGATTATAGGTGTGTGCCACCATACTCAGCTAATTTTGGTATTTTTAATAGAGATGGGGTTTTGCCATGTTGGCCAGGCTGGTCTTGAACTTCTGACCTCAAATGATTCACCTGCCTAGGCCTCCCAAAGTGCTGGAATTACAGGCATGAGACACTGTGTTCAGCCACAAGTTGATTTTAGATGTGAAAACAGCATTGCATTCCTGGAATAAATTCCATTTGTCACTGTACATAGTTGTTTGTATCTGTAGCTCTATTCACTTTGCTATTTTGTTGAGAATTTTTGTGCCTACATTCATGAAGGATAATGATCTATAGTTTCTTTTTTTATATTTTTTTTGTCTGGCTTTGATATCAGAGAATGAGTTAAGAAGTGTTCCCTCTCCTTCTATTTTCTTGAAGAGTTTATGAAGAATTGGTATTATTTATTCTTTCTAATTTCGATAAAATGTAACTGTGAAGCCAACTGGGCCTGAAGTTTCCTTTGTGGGAATAGTTTTACTTTAATTTAATTCCTTTATTTTTTATAGATCTTTTTAAAGTTTCTATTTTTTCTTTAGTCAGTTTTGGACATTTGCATTTATCTGCAAATTGGTTAATTTCATCTGAGTTTTCTAATATATTGATATAAAGTTGTTCACAGATTCTCTTCTAATCTTTTTCATTTCTGTAAGAATAGTAGTAATGCCCCCTCTTTTATTCCTAACTTCCTGATCTTTTCTGTTTTTTCTTGCTAAGTCTAGCTAAAAGTTTGCCAATTTTTAAAATCTTTTCAAGAACCAACTCTTGGTTTCATTGATTCCTTTCATTGTTTTTCTGTTTTCTATTTTATTGATATCTATTATATTTCCTTCTTTTAACTTGTGTTGGGCTTAGTTGGCTTTTCTTTTTCTACTTCCTTGAGGTTGAAACTCAGGTTTTTTATTTGTGACTTTATTTTACTAATATAGGTGTTTAAAGCCATAAATATCCCCCTGCACACTGTTTTAGCTTATCTAGTAAATTTTAATATATTATTTTTCCATTTTTATTTAATTCAAAAAATTTTCTAATTTTTCTTGGGATTTCTCCTTTGACCAATAATTTAGACATGTTTTTATTTAAATTCTGATAGATTTGTAGGCTTTCAAAATTTCTTTCTGTTGTCAATTTCTAACAATACCATTGTGATAAGAACATACATTGTATGATTTCAATCCTTCAATCCTTACAATCCTTTTAAATATACTGATATTTGTTTTGTGGCTCAGTGTATTAGGCCATTATTGCATTGCTATAAAGAAATACCTGAGACTGGGTAATTTATAAAGAAAAGAGGTTTCATTGACTCAGGGTTCTGCAGGCTGTACAGGCATGTGGCCTTATTTCTGGGCTTTCCATTCTGTTCCATTGGTCCATGTGTCTGTTTTTGTACCAGTAACATGCTCTTTTAGTTACTGTAGCCCTGTAGTATAGTTTGAAGTTGGGTACTGTTATGCCTCAAGCTTTGTTCTTTTTGCTTAGGCTTACTTTAGCCATTCACGCTCTTTTCTTGCTCCCATGCAAATTTTAGAATAGTTTTATTCTAATTCTGTGAAAAATGATCTTTATCGTTTCATAGAAATAGCATTAAAACTGTAAATTGCTTTGTGCAGTATGGCCATTTTAACAATATTGAGTCTGCCTATCCATGAGCATGGAATGTTTTTCTATTTGTTACTGTTGTCTCATCTTTCAGCAGTGTTTTGTAATTCTTGTAGTAGAGATCTTTCAACTTCCTGGTTAGCTGTATTCCTGGGTATTTTATTCTTTTTGTGGCTGTTGCAAATGGAATTGTGTTCTTGATTTGGCTCTCAGCTTGGATGTCATTGGGGTATAGAAATGCCTTGGATTTTTGTACACTGATTTTGTATCCTGAAACTACTGAAATTGTTTACTAGTTCTAGAAGCCCTTGGGCAGGGACTATGGGGTTTTCTAGGTGTAAACATTATGTCATCAGTGAACGGAGATAATTTTACTTCCTTTTTTCCAATTCGATGCATTTTATTTCCTTCTCTTTCCTGATTGCTCTAGCTAGGTGTTCCAGCATTATGTCGAATGGGAGTGGTGAGAGTGGGCATCCTTGTCTTGTTTCAGTTCTCAGGGGGAATGCTTCCAGTTTTTGCCCACTCAGTGTTATGTCGGCTGTGAGTGTGTGATTGATGGCTCTTATTATTTTGAAGTATGCTCCTTTGATGCCTAGTTTGTTGAGGGTTTTTATCATAAAGAGATGTTGGATTTCACAGAAGGCTTTTTCTGTGTCTATTCAGATGATCATATAGTTTTTGTCTTAATTCTGCTTTTGTGGTGAATCACATTTATTTATTTGTGTATGTTGATCAAACCTTGCCTCCCAGGAATTAAGCCTACTTGATTGTCGTGAATTAACTTATCGATGTGCTGCTGCATTCAGTTTGCTAGTATTCTGAGGATTTTTGCATCTATGTTCATCAGGCATGTTGGTCAGAGGTTTTCTTTTTTGTTGTGTCTCTGCAATGTTTGGTATCAGAATGATGCTGGATTTATAGAATGAGTTAGGGGGGAGTCCCTTCTCAGTTTTTTGGAATAATTTCAGCAGGATTGATACCAGCTCTTCTTTAAATGTCTGGTAGAATTTGGCTGTGAATCCATCGGGTCCAGGCCTTTTTCCAGATGGTAGGATTTTTATTACTAATTCAGTTTTTGAACTCGTTATTGACCTGTTCAGGATTTCAATTTTCCATGGTTCAATCTTACAAGGTTGTATGTTTCTAGGAACTTATCCATTTCTTCCAGGATTTCTAGTTTGTGAACATCTAGAGATGTTCATAATGTCTCTGAGGAATTTTTGTATTTCTGTGTGGTCAGTAATGCCATCTTTGCCATTTCTGATTATATGTATTTGGATGGTCTCTCTTTTTTATCATGATTAATTTAGCTAGCAGTCTATCAATCTATTTATTATTTGAAAAAAAACACAACTCCTGGTTTTATTAATCCAGTTTCATTGAATTTTTGCATCTCAATTTCATTCAGTTCTGCTCTGATTTTTGTTATTGCTTTTATTCTTCTAGCTTTGGAGTTGGTTTACTCTTGTTTTTCTAGTTCCTTTAGGTGTGATGTCAGGTTGTTAATTTGAGATCTTTCTAATTTCTTGATGTAGGCATTTAGTGCTATAAACTTCCCAAATACTGCTTTAGCTGTGTCCCAGAAATTCTGGTAAATTGTATCTTTGATTTTATTAGTTTTTCAAATAGTTTTTTTATTTCTGCCTGAATTTTTCATTCTTTATTCAACAGTCATTCAAGAGTAGGTTGTTTAATTTTCATGTGATTGTATAGTTTTAAGAGATCTTCTTGGTATTTATCTTTTTATTGTGCTATAGTCTGAGAGTGTGGTTGGTATAATTTTTGGTTTATTTGAATTTGTCAATAATTGCTTTATGGCCAAGTATGTGGTAGGTCTTATAGCATGTGCCATGTGGAGATGAGAAGAATGTATATTCTGTTTTCGTTGGGTCGGCTATTCTTTAGATGTCTATTAGGTCCATTTGATCAAGTGTTGAGCTTAGGTTCCAAATATCTTTGTTAGTTTTCTGCTTCAATGATCTAACATTGTCAGTGGCATTTCTGAAAGATGTAGAGAGAGCAAGCAACTTGGAAAACATATTTGGAGTCTCCCACTATTATTGTACTGTTATCTAAGTCTCTTTGTAGGTCTCTAAGAACTTGTTTTATGAATCTGGGTGATCCAGTGTTACATACATATATACTTAGGATAGTTAAGTCTTCCTGTTGAATTTAACCCTTTATCATTATGTAATGCCCTTCTTTGTCCTTTTTGATCATTGTAGGTTTAATGTTGGTTTTGTCTGAAAAAAAGCATAGCACTTTCTCTTCTTTTTTGGTTTTCATTTGCGTGATAGATCTTTCTCTATCCCTTTACTTTGAGCCTGTGGTTGTCATTGCATATGAGATGGGTCTCTTGAGGACAGCATATAGTTGGGTCTTGCTTCTTTATCCAACTTGACACTTTGTGTCCTTAAGTGGGACATTTAGCCTATTTACATTCAAGGTTAATATATGAGGATCTGACTCTGTCCTGTTGTTAGCTGGTTGTTATGTAGACTTGCTTGTAATTGCTTTAGTGCCTGTGGGCTATGTACTTAAGTGCGTTAACATTGGGTCAGATAACAGGTCTTTCATTTCTATGTTTAGCACTCCCTTAAGGACCTATTGTAAGGCAGATTTGATGGTAACAAATTCTCTTAGCATTTGCTTGTCTGAAAAGGATTTTATTTCTCCTTCACTTATGAAGCTTAGTTTGACTGGATTTGAAATTCTTGGTTGGAATTTATTTTCCATAGGGATGCTGAATACAGGCCTCCAATCTCTTCTGGCTTATAAGGTTTTTGCTGAAGGGTCCACTGTTAACCTGATGGAATTCCTTTTGTACATGACCTGCCCCTCCTCTTAAGCTGCCTATAAGGTTTTTTTGGTTGCCATGACTTTGGAGAAACTGATGACTATGTGTTTTGCAGATGGTCATCTTGTATAGTATCTCACAGGGGTTGTCCGAATTTCCTGAATTTGCATGTTAACCTTTTTAATGAGGTAGAGGAAGTTTTTGTGGACCATATCCTCGAATATGTTTTCCAAGTTGCTTGTTCTCTCTACATCTCTTTCAGAAATGCCAATGAGTCATATGTAAGGTCTCTTTGCTTAATTCCATATTTTTGGAGGATTTGTTCGTTTTTTAATTTTTTTTCTGCTTGCATTAATTTGAATGAACAGTCTCTTGAGTTCTGAGATTCTTTCCTCAGCTTGGTCTATTCTGTTATTAATGTTTCAAATTGCATTCTGAAATTCCTGTAGTGAATTTTTCATTTCCAGAAGTTCAGTTTGTTTTTTTCTTAAAATGGCTATGCTGTCTTTCAACTCTTGGACCATTTTACTGTTTCCCTTTGATTGGATTTCAACCTTTTCCTATATCTCAGTGAGCTTCCTTGCCATCCAGATTTTAAACTCTATGCCTGTTATTTAAGCCATTTCAGTCTGGTTAACAATCATTGCTGGGGAGCTAGTGTGATCACTTGAAGGTAAGAAGACACTCTGGCTTTTAGAGTTGCCAGAGTTCTTGGTTTTTCTCATCTGTGTGGGCTGATGTTCCTTTAATCTTTGAAGTTGCTGTTTTTTAGATGGAGATTTTTACTTTTATATTCTTTGATGCCATTGAGGGTTTGAGTGTGGTATAAATTGGGTTTAGTCAATTGGCTCCATTTCTGCATGCTTCAAGGGGACCAAAACTCAGCTCAACACTCATGGGTTGCATGCTCTAACCCTGGGGGACTGGGACCAGGCCTGTGGCTTTGTTCTCTGGAACCTCAAGGTTAAGTACCTGCTACAATGGAGAAGCTAAGATGTTCCCAGTCTATTGGTAGCAACACTCTGATGAAGGATTCTGGCAGCCACGCTCCAGCAGGGCAGCAGTGGGCCTCCACATGCATGTGCATCAACAGGGCAGCAGGGGTTCCTGCATGCACACATGCTGGTAGGGTGGCGGCAGGTCTGTGCGCATGTGCACACTGGTGGGGTGGTGGAAGGGGAGACTTTGGGCAAGTGCATGCCGGTGGGGAAGTCTACAGGCACGTGCATGCTGGCAGGGGGAGGCTGCAAGCAGCTGCATTATGGTGAGGGTTCCTTTGCAAAAGCACTCTGAGGGGTAGGCAGGGTCTACTGGCAAAAGAGCTGTGACAGTGGCCACTAGTAAGCTGAAGCTACATTGCAAGTGGGTACAGCCAGGCAGGAGCCCTGGGAAAGGCTGGCAGATAAGGGGTACTCAGATAAGTCGGGACTCATCCCACAGAGAAGCAAGAAAGCCCTTCTCTGTCCAGGTCCAGCAGCTATCAAAGGCTAAAGCAGCCTAGAGAAGTATGGCAAGCCTTGGGAGATGGGTGGCCCTGGCTGTAGTCCACTGCAGCCATTCCTAGGCCAAACCTGGGCTTCACACAGCTGGAGTTCTGTCTCTGCCAACTCTCTGGGTAGTTCTCCCTGCCAGCTGAGATGTCCATGAGGATCATGAGGTCTCCTGCAGCTAGGATCCCTGAGGTCTGTGGTGAGAGTGGGCCACTCTATACCTACTTCACTCACCCTTTCCCTAGGAGCAGCTCAGAGCCAGAAACAAGTCCTGTTGCTCAGCAACCTTGTACAGGTTTCCCAACTTCTTCCCCTTTCAGCCTGGGGTCCATGTCCTCCCTCTGTCCACTCTCAATGTCTTCTTTCTGAGAGAAGATCTGCTTAGTGTGTCAGTCTACTTGATGATCTGGTCTCTCTCAAAGGGCAAAGCTCTTCCTGGCTGTGTCTAGTCAGCCGTCTCGATTCTGCTGTTTGTTTTTAATATTTCATGTCTTTTTTGTTCTCCTGTTCCTCTTTTACAGCTTTTTTTGTGTTAAATAGATATGTTTAGTGTACCATTTTAATTCCTTTAAACTATATTTTTTAGTTATTGTCTTAATGGTTGCCCTAGGGATTGCAATATAATATATCACTATCAGGGAACCTGCCCCAATAGTCACGTAGGTTCTTTTCTATTTTCCTTAAGCGTCAGCCGGCTTGAAAAATAAAGGGACAGAGTACAAAAGAGAGAAATTTTAAAGCTGGGCATCCGGGGGAGACATCACATGTTGGTAGGTTCCATGATGCCCCACAAACCGCAAAAATCAGCAAGTTTTTATTAGGGATTTTCAAAAGGGGAGGGAGTGTGCGAACAGGTGTGAGTCACAGACATCAAGTACTTCACAAGGTAATAGAATATCACAAGGCAAATGGAGGCAGGGCGAGATCACAGGACCACAGGACCGGGGCGAAATTAAAATTGCTAATGAAGTTTTGGGCACCATTGTCATTGATAAAAACTTATCAGGAGACAGGGTTTTGAGAGCAACCGGTCTGACTAAAATTGATTAGGTGGGAATTTCCTCTTCCTAATAAGCCTGGGAGCACTATAGGAGACTGGGGTCTATTTCACCCCTACAGTCTACAGACCATAAAAGACGAGCACGCCCAGTGGGCCGTCTATAGACATATACCCCCAGGCGTGTATTCTCTTTCCCAGGGATGTTTCTTGCTGAGAAAAAGAATTCGGCAACATTTCTCCCATTTGTTTTTGAAAGAAGAGAAATATGGCTCTGTTCCGCCTGGCTCACGGGTGGTCAGAGTTTAAGGTTATCTCTCTTATTCCCTGAACAATTGCTGTTATCCTGTTCTTTTTTCATGGTGCCCAGATTTCATATTTGTTCAAACACACATGCTCTGCAATTTGTGCAGTTAACGCAATTATCACATGGTCCTGAAGTGACATACATCTTCCTCAGCTGACAGGATTAAGAGATTAAAGACAGGCATAGGAAATCACAAGGGTATTGATTGGGGAAGTGATAAGTGTCCATGAAATCTTCACAATTTATGTTTAGAGATTTCAGTAAAGACAGGCATAAGAAATTATAAAAGTATTAATTTGGGGAACTAATAAATGTCCATGAAATCTTCACAATCCATGTTCTTCTGCCATGGCTTCAGCCGGTCCCTCCGTTTGGGGTCCCTGACTTCCCGCAACATAACATAATCTACCTCATATTAACATTAACTTAATTCCCATAAAATATAGAAAATTTGATCCCTTATAGCTCCATTTTTCCCCCTCATTTGTACTATTATTGTAATATCAATTATATCTTCACACATATCTTCTGCTTTATGCAATTATGTTTTAAAGCAGATAAGAGGAGAAAAAAGAAAATGTCTTTATACTGTCTTTCACATTTACCTACTCACTTATTTTTACTAATGCTCTTTATTTCTTCATGTAGATTCAAATTTCTGGATATAGAATCTTGGTTCATAATTTTTTTCTTTTTCTTTCAGCACTTTGAATACGTCATCCCACTGCCTTGTGACCTGCATTGTTTCATATGAGAAGTCAGTTGTTAGTTTTATTTTGGTTTCTGTATATGTGATGGGTTGTTTTTCTCTAGTTGCTTCCAATATTCTTTTCTTTGGCTTCCAACAGTTCAACTATGTTGTGTCTGGGTGTAGGCTTCTTTGTATTAATCTCACAGCTTATTGAGCTTCTTCATGGTGTAAGTTAATGTTTTATTCAAAATTTTATCAGATTTTTCCCCTTTTCTCTCTCCTCCCCTCTGGCATTCTTACTGTGTGTGTGTTGGTGTATTTGATGGTATTCCATGGGCCTTTGAAGCTCTGTTCACTTTCCTTTATATTCCTTTATCCCTTAAAGTTTTTATTGATTTATCTTCAAGTTTTCTGATTCTGTCTTCCAGATTTAAATTTTTCAGTTGATCCCTTTTGTAATTTCTCTCCTTTTATTGATATTCTTCATTTAATGCATTATTGTTGTCATGCTTTCCTTTAATTCTTTAAACATAAATTTTCTTTACTTCTTTAAGTATATTTACAATAGCTGTTTTGAGGCTCTTCTTTACTAAATTCAATACCTGGGACCTCTCAGAGACAGTTTCTATTCACTGCTTTTTTTTTCTCCTGTGTAGGTTAGACTTTCCTGTTCTTATGCATATTTTGTTGTTTTTTATTAAAAACTAGGCATTTTGCACAATGTAACAACTTTAGGTTTTGATCTCCTTCCCTCCCCAGGAAGTTATTGCTTGTTTAGTGTTTGACAGACTATAGAATCTTCCTCCCTTACAGTGCTTAGCTGCTGATGTTTATGCTGAGTTTGTTGTTTTTAAATTCTTGTTTTCATAGTTAAGCCTGTCTTCCTAAGAGTTGTCTGTTGCTTAGCATAGCTTAGTCATCAGTGAAAGATTGGTGAAAAGTTGTGCTTAATCATCTTGAGCCAATAGAGTTTGAATGCATTCAATGTTTGGGGGGCAAGGCCAAGATGACTGACTAGAAACAGCTGCAGTTGGAGGTTCCCACTGGTAACTGATGTATCCAAGTTCTATCATCAGGACTGATTAGATGGTTGGCATGACCCAAGGAGACCAAGGAAAAGCAGGGTGGTGTGTCAGCCCACCTGAGAGCCACATGGGGCAAGGGGAGCCCCAAGGTCCCAGGCAAAAGAGGCAGGGAGTGAGCATGTTACCCAGCCTGGGAATCCATGCTTTTTCCACAGATCTATGCAATCTGCAGATCAGGAGATCCCACTCGTGAGCCTATGCCACAAGGACCTTGGGTCCCAAACACAGAGCTGTGCAGATTCTCAAAAGTCACTTTGCTAGAGTCTGCCTAAGACTGCCAAATTCCCAGGGGGAGGGGTGGCCATCATCCCTGCAGCTGCCTAAGAAAACTAAGCTCCCTGGGGGAAGGGATGGCAGCCATCATTGCAGCTGCCAGCTGCCTTAGACACTGAACTCCCAGAGGGGAAGGGCAGCAGCCATCACTACTGCTCCAGGCAGCCATTTTTCCCGTGCTAGTATAAGGGGGACCAGACAGCTTGGACTCAAGCAGTATTCCCCACAGTGCAGCACACTGGCTGCGGCAGATTGTGGCCAGACTGCCTCTTTAGGCCAAACCCTGACCCATCCCTCCTCAATGGGTGGGGCCTCCCTACAGGAACTTCAGCAACTATAGCCAAGGGCTTAGGGACAGAACTCTGATCTCCCTGGGCCTGAACCCCTAGGGGAAGGGGTGACCATGGTCTCCATTGACCAGCACACACAGTCTTTCCCCCTGCTAGCTCTGAGAAATCCAGGCTGAACAGACAAGTGGGTTTTCCTAGCTCTAGCAGCACACCCCCTCCACCAAGGGACAGCCAGAATGCTTCATTAAGTGGGTCCTGGATCCCATGCCCCCCAGCTGGGTGAGACCACGCCCGGCTAATTTTGTATTTTTAGTAGAGATGGGGTTTTTTCATGTTGGTCAGGCTGGTCTCAAACTCCCGACCTTAGGTAATCCACCCACCTCGGCCTCCCAAAATGCTGGGATTATAGGCGTGAGCCACTGCGCCCGGCCCAACATTCTTAAAGAAAATAATTTCCATCCCAGAATTTCACATCTGGCTAAGCTAAGCTTCGTAAATGAAGAAGAAATACAATCCTTTTCAGATAAGCAAATGCTGAGGTAATTTGTCACCACCAGGCCTCCCTTACAAGGTCTCCTGAAGGAAGCACTAAAAATGGGAAGGAAAAATTGGTACCAGCCACCGAAAAAACATACTGAAGTAAAAGACCAATGACATTATGAAGAAACTGCATCAACTAGTCTGCAAAATAACCAGCTAGGATCAGATAACAGGATCAAGTTCACATGTAACAATATTAACCTTAAATGTAAATGGGCTAAATGCCCCAATTAAAAGACACAGACTGGCATATTGGATAAAGAGTCAAGACCCATTGGTGTGCTGTATTCAAGAGACATATCTCACATGCAAAGACACACATAGGCTCAAAATAAAGGGATGGAGGAAAACTTACCAAGCAATGGAAAGCAGAAAAAAGCAGAGGTTGCAATCTTAGTTTCTGACAAAACAGACTTTAAACCAACAAATATCAAAAAAGACAAAGAAGGCCATTACATAATGGTAAAGGGATCAATTCAACAAGAAGAGCTAACAATCCTAAATACAAATGTATCCAATACAGGAGCACTCAGATTCATAAAACAAGTTGTTAGAGACCTACAAAGAGACTTAGACTCCCACAAAATAATAGTGGGAGACTTTAACACCCCACTGTCAATATTGAGACAGAAAATTAACAAGGATATTCAGGACTTGAACTCAGCTCTGGATCAGGTGGACCTGACAGATATCTATCCAACTCTCCAACCCAAACCCACAGAATATGCATTCTTCTCAGTGCCACAAGGCACTTACTCTAAAATTGATCACAAAGTTGGAAGTAAAACACTTCTCAGCAAAAACAAAACAACGGAAATCATAACAAACAGTCTCTCAGATAGCAGTGCAATCAAATTAGAACTGAAGATAAAGAAACTCACTCAAGGCTGGGTGAGGTGGCTCAAGCCTGTAATCCCAGCACTTTGGGACGCCAAGGCAGGTGGATCACGAGGTCAGGAGATCAAGACCATCCTGGCTAACATGGTGAAACCCCATCTCTACTAAAAATAAAAAAAAAATTAGCCAGGCATGGTGGCAGGCACCTGTAGTCCCAGCTACTCAGGAGGCTGAGGCAGGAGGCTGAGGAGAACGGCATGAACCCGGGAGGCAGAGCTTGCAGTGAGCCAAGATTGCACCACTGCCCTCCAGCCTGGGCAACTGAGCAAGACTCCGTCTCAAAAAAAAAGAAACTCACTCAAAATCACACAAGTACATGGAAATTGAACAACATGCTCCTGAAAGACTCCTGGGTAAATAATAAAATTAAGGCAGAGATCAAGAAGTTCTCTAAAACCTATTAGAACAAAGAGACAATGTACCAGCATCTCTGGGATGCAGCTAAAGCAGTGTACAGAGGAAAATTTATAGCACTAAATGCCCACATCAGAAGGCAAGAAAGATCTAAAATCGACACCCTAACATCACAACTGAAAGAACTAGAGAAGCAAGAGCAAACAAATCCAAAAGCTAGCAGAAAACAATAAATAACGGTGAGAGTGGAACTGAAGAAAACAGAGACACAAAAAAAATGCTTTAAAAAAATCAATGAATGCAGGAGGTGTTTTTTTGAAAAAAAATTCATAAAATAGACTGCTAGCTAGACTAATAAAGAAGAAAACAGAGAAGAATCAAATAGACACAATAAAAAATGATAGAAGTGATATCACCACTGACCTGCAGAAATACAAACAACTATCAGAGAATACTAGAAACACTTTTATGCAAATAAACTAGAAAATCTAGAAGAAATGGATAAATTCCTGGACGCACACACTCTCCCAAGGCTAAACCAGGAAGAAGTAGAATCCTTGAATAGACCAATAACAAGTTTGGAAATTGAGGCAGCAATAAATAGCCTACCAACAAAAAAAAGCCCAGGACCAGAAGGATTTATGGCTGAATTCTACCAGAGGTACAAAGAGGAGCTGGTACTTCTGAAACTATTCCAAACAATTGAAAAGGAGGGACTTCTCCCTATTTCATTTTACGAGGCCAGCACCATTGTGATACCAAAACTTGGCAGAGATACAACAATAACGACAAAAAACTTCAGGTCAATATTCCTGACAAACATTGATGCAAAAATCTTCAATAAAATACTGGCAAACCAATTCCAGCAACACATCAAACAGCTTATGCACCAGAATCAAGTCAACTTCATCCCTAGGATGCAAGGCTGGTTCAACATATGCAAATCAATAAACATAATTCATCACATAAACAGAACCAATGACAAAAACCACATCGTTATCTCAATAGGCACAGAAAAGGCCTTCGATAAAATTTACCACCCTTCATATTAAAAACTCTCAGTAAACTAGGTATTGATAGAACATATCTCAACATAATAAAAGCCATTTATGACAAACCCACAGCCAATATCATACTGAATGGTCAAAAGCCAGAAGCATTCCCTTTGAAAACTGGCACAAGACAAGGATGCCCTCTCTCACCACTCCTATTCAACATAGTATTTGAAGTTTTGGCCAGGGCAATCAGGCAAAAGAAAGAAATAAAGGATATTCAAATAGGAAGAGAGGAAGTCAAATTGTTTCTGTTTGCAGATGACATGATCCTGTATATAGAAAACCCCAGTCTCAGTGCAAAAGCTGATAAGCAAATTCAGCAAAGTCTCAGGATACAAAATCAATGCGCAAAAATCACAAGCATTCCTATACACAAACAATAGACAAGCAGAGAGCCAGATCATGAATGTACTCCCATTCACAGTTGCTAAAAAGAAAATAAAATACCTATGAATACAGCTAACAAGGGATGTAAAGGACCTTTTCAAGGAGAACATAAAAACTGCCCAAGGAAATACGAGAGGACACAAACAAATGGAAAAACATTCCATGCTCTTGAATAGGAAGAATTAGTATAATGAAAATGGCCATACTGCCCAAAGTAATTTATAGATTCATTGCTATTCCCATTAAACTACCATTGACATTCTTCATGGCATTAGAGAAAACTACCTTAAAATTCATATAGAACCAAAAAAGAGCCCAGATAGCAAAGACAATCCGAAGCAAAAAGAACAAAGCTAGATGCACCATGCTACCTGGCTTCAAACCATACTATAAGGCTACAGTAACCAAAACAGCATGGTTCTGGTACCAAAACAGACACATAGAGCAATGGAACAGAATAGAGATCTCAGAAATAAGACCACACATCTACAACCATCTGATCTTCGACAAAACTGACAAAAACAAGCAATGGGGAAAGGATTCTCTATTTAATAAATGGTGCTGGGAAAACTGGCTAGCCATAGGCAGAAAATTGAAACTGGACCCCTTCCTTATACCTTATACAAAAATTAACTCAAGATGGATTAAAAGCTTAAATGTAAAACCCAAAATGGTAAAAATCCTAAGAGAAAATCTGGGCAATACCATTCAGCACATAGGCAAAGGAAAAGATTTCATGGTCAAGACATCAAAAGCAATTGCAACAAAAGCAAAAATTGACAAGTGTGACCTAATTCAACTAAGGAGCTTCGGCACAGTAAATGAAACTATCATCAGAGTAAACAGACAACCTACGGAATGGGAGAAAATTTTTGTAATGTATCCATCTGACGAAGGTCTAATGTCGAGAATGTACAAGGAACTTAAACAAATTTACAAGAAAAAAACAACCCCATCATGTCAAAGGACATGAACAAATACTCTCAAAAGAAGACATTTATGTGGCCACCAATACATGAAAAAAAAGCTCAACATCACTGATCATTAGAGAAATGCAAATCAAAACCACAGTGAGATACCATCTCATGCCAGTCAGAATGGCAATTATTACAAAGTCAAGAAACAACAGATGCTGGTGAGGCTATGGAGAAATAGGAATGCTTTTATACTATTGATGGGAATGTAAATTAGTTCAACCATTGTGAAAGACAGCATGGGGATTCCACAAGGATCTAGAACCAGAAATATCATTTGACCCAGCAATCCCATTTACTGGGTATATACCCAAAAGAATGTAAATCATTCTGTTATAAAGACACATGCACATGTACGTTTATTGCAGCACTATTCACAATAGCAATGACATGGAATCAACCCAAATGCCCATCGATGGTAGACTGGATAAAGAAAATGCAGCACATATTCACCATGGAATACAATGCAGCCATAAAAAAGAATGAGATCTTGTCCTTTTCAGGGACTTGGATAAACCTGGAAGCCATCGTTCTCAGCAAACTAACACAGGAGCAGAAAACCAAACACCGCATGTCCTCATACATAAGTTCAGTCATCTTAAAATGCTGTTCTGCTTTTGGTTTTTGCTAGGTCTTTTCATGTTGTCTTGAACCATGTTTAGAGAGGGGGGTGACTTGATTTAAAGCAGGTGCCTTACATTCATCCAGAGAGTGGTAGATAGCTATGACCTCTCCAGTCTCTCTTGAGCATGTGTATAACCTTTTACAAGTGTGCATCCTTCCAAACCACCATGAGTATGTGGAAGCTTATTCAGACTCACTATGGCCACCTCATTTTCTTTGTTAAATTTCTAGTCTAGTCTACTAGAAACTAGCTAGTCTACTAGTCTGTCGCTTACCCCAACCTAATGGCAACCTCAAGCTAGCTGTGAGGGTGGCCTTTTCTGATTGTTTGCCACTGAGATTGCTACTGTTTGCAATGCCGCTGACTTGCACCTGCTCTAAATCAAATCATTCCCCTCAAGTAGTTCCCATAGCTTGCCCTACCCTGTTAGAATTTCCATACCAATAGAGCTGAAGGGCTAAAATGCCACAGACTCACACTTTTACTTGAATTTCAGTTGTTTTACTTAAATAAATATTTCTAAATTTGTTGTACGCCTTTGATCTATTTATAGAGTACTTACATGATTGTTTTTGATAGTTCTATCTAGTTCTATTATTGATTTTTGAGGAGAGAAAAATAACTAGTTTCTTAATCTGCTATTCCAGAAGTTCCCTTCTGAATCTATCAGTTTTGTTTTTTATCCAACACCACTTCCTTTTGATATCCTTTAGATATCACTTCCTAACCCTAAATTAAATTCCTCTATGATGCCTTGACATAGGACCCTGTACTGATTTCAAAGAATTTTTTACATTTCCTGTAACTCTTTGCTTACTTGTCTGACTCCCTCACTAGACTATAAGCTCACAGAGACTCCTCTGTTCACTGATGTATCTTAGGCAGCTAGAGCAGCATTTGACACACAGTAGTCACTCAATGAAAACAGTGAATTTACTTGAATTAATTGAATGGAATTTAAATGCAGAGTCATGTATCCAGAGTAGCAACTGTGGTTGCCAATATTGAGACAGAACTGAGGACAATTTCTAGCCATAGTCTTTTACTCAAGCCAAGTACACAAAACCTCAGGTGTATGTCAATGAATGATGTCATAAAAAAAATTCTGTTTCTCAAAACTTAGCAGTCAACAAAACATTACAAGACATTGTTTTTTCCAATAGAAGGGTCTTATAGATTATAAGCCACAGGGAAAGAGAACTTGTAGTTACCAACACTTGATTCATGAAATTTGGTAACACTAATTTATTTGGGCTTACATGTTTCAACACACCTTTTAACATTAGGAAGCCAAAATGTAGTTGTGGTAAATTTCAACACATACACAAAAGCATTGCCCTAAAATATGCAAATACCTAGTTGAGCATATTTCATAATAATGCAGAAAAAGATCTGTCAAATATTTTTAATTTTTTATTTAGTTTTTAGGTAAGTAAGCAAGGACAGATGCCAGTGCCATCCTTATTTTAGGGCCTTTCAAAGACATGCCTTCTATTATTATCAGAAGGAGACTGGGCCAGGAGAAAGAAATAACAGAACTCCATCAGATACTACGTCATTGTACATAGGGAGGGCACAATGAATGCTGCTTGGACAACATTTATTGAACACTTTACATTTTATGACATCAATTTTCAAACTGTGCTTCATGAATCCCCATAGAAGTACCTTGGTAATATATTTAAGGACTGGGAAGACCAAGTGAACAGGTTTTTACCCATTTATCTTTTCACCCCGCTTTCATATGTTTTATATGTTGGGTTTGGTCATAATTTTTTAATGAATCTATTACCCCCCAAAAAAGATTTGGAAATGACTGCGCTAATACTATGTAGAGTAAACACAGTTGCTTGATCTATTTTTAAAAATATGTTTCTCACTAGATTATTGTGAGTGCTAAATTAAGTGATGTATATGAAAATACCCTGCTGTCTTAATCTATTCAAGCTTCTCTAACAAAATCATACACTAGATAGCTTATAAAGAACAGAAATTTATTTCTCACAGTTCTGGAGATTGAGAAGTCCAAGATCAAGGTACCAGCAGATTTAGTGTCTGGTTACAGACTGCTTTCTGGTTCAATAATGGTGCCTTCTCACTGTGTCCCACATGGAGGAAAGGGCTAGCTAGTTCTCTGGAGTCTCTTTTATAAGAGCATTGATCCCAATCATGAGAGTTCCCCTTAACAATAGAGTCACCTCCTGTCTTAGCCCATTTTCTATTGCTATAACAGAACACCACAGACTGGATAATTTATAAGAAAAGTACATTTATTTAGATCATGGTTCTCAAGACTAGGAAGTCCAAGAGCATGGCACTGGCATCTGGGGAGGACCTTCTTGCTGAGTCATAGCATGGAGAGGCCATCACATGGTGAGAGGCCAAGAACATGCCAAGTTCTCTCAAGTCTCTCTTCTTCTTCTTCTTATAAAGCCACCAGTTCTATCATGGTTGGCCCATGCTGATGATCATATCTAGGCCTAACTACCTTCTGAAGGCCCCACCTCCAAATGCCATCAATGTATGAATTTGGAGATTAAGTTTCCAACACATGAAATTTGGGGAACACATTCAAACCATTACACTTCCCAAAGGCCCTACCTCCTAATCTCCTTGCCTTGGGAGATAGGATTTCAACATATAAACTGGGGGGAGAACAGAACATAAGAACTTGGTCCATTGCATTTGCAAACTGTAAAATGCTTATCAAATGGAATATTATATACTGTTGCTGCCCTTCAGAAACCTGTGGCCAGATAGGCTACCAAAAGAAACACATTTATATCACATATACATTTCAAGCTCTTTGCCATTTATCTTAATTTTTATTTTTACAAAACTGTTTTTTCTTTTAGAAACATTCACTGAATCCACTGAAGTTGGTCCATGATTGATACTAATCAGCTTCCTCTCCTAAATGTCTTGGTTCCCTGGTAAAACAGCCCCCAGGAACAGAGTTCTGTAGCCTAAGATGTTATCACAAAATAATTCCCCTCTAAATGAAATGGAAGAGGTTGGAATTTTTAAATTAAAGTGTTATGATTTTATTCTGTTTTTCAGGCTGCAATGGCATGAATTGTTGGAGGGGCAATGTCCTGTTTAAATCTGGTTTTATCTCACTCCCCAGTGCCTTAAGAGAAGAAAAACAAGCATCTCTGGTCTTCATTATTCTGATTATAAAGAATGTTCTCTTAATTTCCTATTGTTGTGTACAAGATTTAGTGCTTACCCTTTAATTTCAGTGTCAGAATGTGAACTGTAATTAATTTTCATAAAATGGAAAGCAATAAAGTCAGATATATTAAATGCTGGCTGTAGAGGTTGAAATTGTATAATTTACAATTAGGGATAGTGGGGGAAAAAACAGCCTACACATTAAATGAGTGATAACTCATCTTGGCTTCAGCTTCAGAGATCATGAAAGTGGTCAACAAAACTGCTCAAACCAAAGCCCCCACTCTATGGGGTATTGGAACCTTCTCAAGAAGGTCTATCAAATCTGGTGTCATCTCTCCCTATTCCAACATTTGGATTGTTTTTATTATCATTAATTAACAACAATAATATGCAAGGACCTAAATTACCACCTAATGAATCACCTAAATCCTTTCCTAGGCATTATTTGTAACAAACTATAGATAATAGACCATAATTCTATATCAACCATTAAAAAATGCAGACCGCCAACTGATTAAAAATGCAGGTTCCCTTTATCTTGCCATCAGAATTTCCATAAAGAAAGTATGTTTAAAATTGGGGAATATTTGTGTAGTGGTTATTTATAAATGTTAAGCTATATTCTAAACCAAAGGAAGCTATATACAAAATTATGTATAAACTTCACTATATAAAAGAAGTGTTTTCATGTTGGAGGCATTAAAATGGGTACACGTTCTATCCCTTGTCTCATTGGTTCAGGACATGCTTCTCAAGAAATGGTACTCTGGAAGTGATCATTAAAAGACAGATAGAAGCAGTGATTTCTCAGTTAAGTGGAAGCTTGTCCTAGAAATGAGTGGTACAAGCTTTACAATTTACAAAGCTCCTTCACACACATTATCTCAATGTAATTTCACATTGCCCCTATGCGGAGGACAGAGCAAACTCTGATATCTTGTGTTTCAAGGAAGACACTAAGAAGTGAAGTGGTCTGTCCACATTTACACCATCAGTAAGTGACTGACCCAGAAATTGAATCTATGTTTAGGACCCTCTAAATTTAGTCCCTGGGTCAACATAGGTAAGAATAGCTAACAAATCCAAAAAACAGCTCATTAATTGGTGTGGAGCATACTCACAGAACTGGCCTGAAGTGTGATTACAAATATAGAGAGAAAGAAGACAGGGTGCCCAGGCATTAAAAAGGGGACAAATACTGCAACCTCAGGCATCATCTGAAAATAAGGAAGACCATTTGGGAAGGGAACAATAACTGAACTGCAATCATTTCCAGCCTATTAGATTTTACACCACAGCCTAGAAGTCGTTAGGTTCATGCATAATGACACAAGAACTAAAGGGATCTTAGCTTTAGGTTCAGTTAGATACCCACATTTTATCTACCCCATACTAAGGAATGCATGCTCAGTGCCCTCCAGACCCCACTGCTGGGAGTTAGAACGTACGTAATTAGTTAACCATGGAGATAGGAAAGAGCCCCACCTTGGAGCAGTGAAAGATTACAAAATAAGTGATTATTTTTATATCCACAAAGAAAAATTGTTGTATGCACGAGAAAAAATCTAGAAGAAAATTAAATCATATGTAAATTTCAAATTTACTCTGAGAGATGGACTTACAGGAAATAGTCATCATTTTACCTTAAGGAAAATAGCCATATTTATTTACCTTAGTAAATTACTCAATTATTTTATAATGAACAGGTATTACTTTTATAAAGAGCAACTAAACATGAAAATTGTATTTTGTAAAAAGCCTAAATTGTAGACTCTATACCTTATTGCATGAAATGGGTTAGTCAAGTTGAGGACATTGCTTAGATTTGGTGTCAATCATGGCCTATGCTCCAGTCTCAGATGACATATCTCTTCCTCCAGGAGGTCTTGCCTGATGTACACAGCCCATTACTACCCCTCTACACTGGGATCCTGTAGGTACTCCCTCCTAGCCCTCAGCCCTCTGTTTTCTTCCTTCATGACACTTATCATGACTTGTAACTACACAAGTATGTGTAAGATTATTGGCAACCTGACCTAAATCCAGGCAAGAAGGGTTTTGTCCTGGGCCTCTTGCTTTAGAGAACCATACATACCACGAACATTAAAATGCACATACAATTTTTTTCAGTCTCAAAAGAAAGCATGTTGACAGTTCAGTTTATTTTTTAGTGAATTAGGGAAGAGGGATGCACTGAACAAACTGAATAATGCAGGCCAGAGTATGGCGGGCTGAGAACAAGAGAGCAGATGTCAGGGAGAAGACAAGCTCAGCCTCTGCCCTGAGATATGAGATAGCAAGAGGCCATTTAAAGTTGTCTGCCCCAGAATACCCAAAGCAGACAGGATTTCCCAGTAAGTTGCACACCATCCCTTTCATCCCTTGTAGTGGAGAGGTATTAATACTTAGAACCACCTAACAAAAGGGTGTGAGAAAGTGATATATGAGGGATGGGACCTCCCTATTCCAGTTCCCTGGACACTTGAACAATGTGTTCCTAGGCCAGTTTCGGGTGACTTTAGTCCCAAGGACTGAACCTCTAGCTCACCTTCTCCCTTGCCCTGTGCCAGCAGCAACTGTTGCCACTCAGGGTCAAGATGGCAAGACTAACCTTGGGGAGATGGGTCTCCTTTAGCCTCCAGATCACAGGGGTAATCCCTGGGCTGTGGAGCATCAAGGCTGTGAACAGGAGCATGAACTGAGACAAAGCATAGCTTAACTGATCACTTTAAAATCTTTAAATATTTGATATGTGGCTCCCATTGTTACTCTGGCCTCAGGCCCCACAAACATTAGAGTCAGACCTGATTATTAGTGTAATAACTGTATTCCTTGCTAATGACATATTCCATAAAGTGTAAGATTATATTTATTTTATTTAAAATACTAGTCCCCCACTAGTACAGAGCCTGGCATATGTTAGGCATGCAATATTTGTAGAATTAATAAATGGCTAAAAACAAAGTGCTGCTACACAATATAGCCCTGTGCCTGCCCCTAAACGCACTTGTAATGAAAGCAAATCTGAGAGGAAGATACCATTTTGTATCAGGCAAGCACCTAGTGCTGACAGCCTTTGACAATAGAAGTCGGTGTACCACGGCATAAAACCAATGATTCTCACTTACCATCAACACAGTCCAAAGAGTTTTCCATTAACAAGTCACACCAATAATTTCTGATGAATGGCAAAGAGTTAAAGAATATGGTACAAAAATGAAAATAAAAATACAAGCCCATGCTCTCCACTTCAACCAAGAATCCCCAACCTCCATCTCCACACCAAAGTTTGGTTCATTGTCATTTTATTCTATGTAGATTTAATTTTTCAAAGTTTATGTTCTTTTTAAGCCAAAAAAAATGGAGATACAAAATGAAATAAAATTATCTTTGAAAAAACTACATTATTTTTACTATGACTTTAAGGTTTAAGTGAAAAGGCACAGTTACAGCTTTAAAAGCAGGTAGATTACAATGTTCATTGAACCTATAATTGCAACAAGTAATTCCCACATTCTAGGTCAGGGATTACATTTATTATATGTTCTCATCAGAACCTACCATTCTGTAGGCCCTCAATAACTGTAAAATGATCATTTCAACTCTGTCAACAGCTGACCTAAGGTTAAGTCATTTTCTTATGTGTGGCTATCAATGGGCAAATGAATGCCTCAGAAGAGTTCAGCAGGTTTTTATTAATAAGCATTTCCTTTCCATAAATATCTAATTTCAAAATGGTACCATTTTTCATGTGAAGGGGCTTGTGGATATAAGAAAGAAGGAGAAAAACATTAGCAATATGTAGTAAGGGAAAGACATGAATCTCTTGGAAAGCAAATATGCTAAGGGCACCTACTTTTATCATCTTCAATTTCTATCTTAAGGCTTTGAAAAACTAATTAAGCAGCATCAAAACAAATATTGACATAACACAGGAAAAATGGGAAAATATTAGGAATAGTCTGACTCAGACTAACTTACCTATTCTATACTATTTTATAGTTTACAAAAAGCTTTCACACCATGGTGTCGTATAACCTCACATACACTCTCTGAGGTAATATACTGCCCCATTTAATAGCAAACAAGTCAAATTGGACTTTAACTAGAATCTTTGTTGCCTCTCTAATGTCTATCACTTCTTTCTTCCTTTCCAAAAGAACCCTGAGCTGTCCACACCTCTATTCTTGTCCATATTGTCTTGTCCATGTTGCTGAAGATTGGCCCTAACCTCAGCCCAGGGAATGGTTTTGATTAAGCCATGCCAACCATGGTGATCCTTTTCCCCTGGCCAACGGCTGGCTTACACAGTGTCATGTGATGCAATTGTAGCCAATGAACATGAGGATAAGTATGATAAAGTTTCTTCTCTCTTAGAGACAAAGCAAGGATGACTCTTTTCTGCTTATTTGGATGGATACAAGAAACTGCTGTAGCCGTCTTGCAAATGGCCAGTGACTCCAGTTCCAACCCATCCATTATACTTCAGTTCTGTATATCCAGTTACCTGCTTGATAGTTCTATTTGGATCCTGAATTGGTAACTCAAACTTTGAATAAGGACGACTTACTTCCCCACCTTTTACCAGTCTTCCCCATCTCATTAAATGGCACCACCACTAATGCAAAATCCAAGTCTATTAATAAGTTCTGTCAACTCTCACTCCAAAGAATACCCCATGTTTGTTCATTTCTATGTATTTCCACTGTTACCATCACCTCAATGAAGTCCAGTGTCTCTTGCCTGCATTACTGCAACTGCCTGTTTCTGCTCTAGCCCTTTTCAAATATAGTCTCCACACAGCAGCCATAGCCAACTTTAAAATGGGTAGATTAGTTAATATTACTCCCTGCTGAAATCCCTCAATTGCCTTCTCACTGCATTCAGAATAAAATCCAAACTCCTTAGCACATATGGAGCCATTAGCCTATATGGGCCTATAAGACCTTAACCCCGATTTGGGAGGTCTTGGTCCTTGAACATACCAAGCTCATTGTTACTTGGAGCCTTTGCATCACAGCTTACTCTGCATGATACACCCTCTCACCAGATCTTAGAGTGGCCAGCTTCATCCTGACAGTAACAGCTCAAATGTCATCTTTTCAAAAGAGTCTACCAATCTAAAATATCTCCCACTATAATCTCCATCACATCATCCAGTTGTATTTTCTTCACAGTTCTATCATTATCAGAAATTATCTCATCCATTGATAATGTGTTTAATTATGTCTCCTCACCTATAATACCAAGTCTATGAAAACACAAACGTTTTTGCTTGTTTGTCAGTTTTAGCAGCACCTAAAACAATAGCTAACATAAAGTTGGCACTCGATAAATATCTGTTAAATAAATTAATAAAGCCAATAACTTTGCTGAATCTAGAAATATAATAGTAAACATATCTTATTTCTTCTATGAACTCTATGTTCAGTAACTCATTTGGGATTTTTGCTAGAGGTATTGCACACAAAAGCTAGAGAGGGAAATAGGAGATCTACCTAACAAAGAAAACCTCCATTGAATTATTGTGTGAGTTAAAAATCCACTAAAATCTGGGGGTTAATTTATAATCACCCATAATATATTACATAAGAAATGTAAGAAATTTGGAGGGCTTTTGTAGCAGCTGGATCTATCTTGCCTAAGAGAGAAGAGGAATAAGCAAAGGAAAGGTAAAGAAGGCTTGAAGTAAGGGCTTAAGGTAATAGGAACTGGCAAGATTTGGGAATGGGTGATTGTTGACCAGAGAAACAAGGAATAATATGATTGAGTAGAGGTGACCAGACTTCCACAATTAATAGGTGACTTAAAATCGTAACTTGAGCAAGTTTATGACATTTGCACATGTATTTATCAGGCCCCTTTATCTAGACTTCTCTATAAATACAGATTAATATTGCATGACCATGCTTTTGCAACTAGGTAAACTTGTCTTCCTCACATAAACTATTGCCAGGCAAAGTTTACCTCAATATTATATTTAATTAGCATACTTTTCCAGAACATTAAGTATGTAAATATTTCTACTGATGCCTGCACATTATCTCCTTGATGCTTTCAATCCAACATTCTGATCTAAAGAAAAGATTTTGAATCTACCGAATCAATCAGCTAGCTTACCCAATTTGGGGAGTACCTACAAATTTGCCAAGCTTCTGTATTTCACTTTAATCTATTGATTAAAAAATTAGGCATGGCCATTGAAAAACTATATTAAAATTGGTCTCTTTATCATTTGTTGTAAATGTTTGATCAGATGTAAATTCACCTGACAATATTCTCACTTATCCCACATTTCTCTTTCATGTCCACAAGGATATTATAAAAACTATCAGTTTACTAAGTATAGGATATCTGATGCCCACAGCAGCTTTCCCCAAAGTTTGTTCCATGTAACACTAATCCTGGTCAAATATTGGGGAGAAAAACAACAATGCCTAAGGCATGAAGCACATTATTCTAAACTATGGTGGCTCTAAATTGCTTCTTTTTTTAATCTTACAATTAAAAAACTCATTGATATGATTTGCCTGTGTCCCCACTCAAATCTCACCCTGAATTGTAATAATCCCCATGTATCATGGATGAGTCCAGGTGGAGATAATTGAATCATGGGGGCAGTTTCTCCCATACTATTCTCATGATAATGAATAAGTCTCATGAGATCTGAAGGTTTTATAAATGGGAGCTCCTATGCACAAGCTCTTTCTTGCCTGCCCCCATGTAAGATGTGACTTTGCTCCTCATTTGCCTTCCACCATGATTGTAAGGCCTCCCCAGCCATACGGAACTGTGAGTCAATTAAACCTCTTTCCTTAATAAATTACCATCTCCAGTATATCTTTATTAGCAGCATGAGAACAGACTAATACACTCATCAATTTTTAAAATATAATTGTGGGATTCTTTTATTTTTCTCCATTCTAAGCTTGTTATTGCCTTCCCATGAAATTGCTGTGATTTGAAGGTAATATAGATACAATTGCTAATGGATTGAATGTTGGATGTGGACAGAGTCAAAAACTTCAAATTTTTGAGCCTAAGAAACTGCAAATATGGTTATCATTCACTGAGATGTGTCAGACTGAAGACAAGTAGTTTGGGAAAGAAAGAGTGGAAACCCTGACTTGGTATTGGACCTGTTAGTTTTGAGATGCATATTAGACATGCAAGTAGTAATCTCTAGTTAAGGATCAGTTCTCTTTGTAACAAACATCCTCTACCACTTAAGCATTCAAATTATTAGCAAAATGAGTCCATATTTACTCTCACGCTCACCTTTTAGCAGAATAATTCACCCATCCTTATTGTATTTTGCCTGTGTCAAGAATGCATAATCTAAGTCACCTGTGACTAGGCAGTTTTTAGTAACTTCCAACAACAAAAGCAATTCTCTTTATTTCTTTTTGTCCTCTCACAGGTGTTCTTCACACTTCAGGTTTGTGGATCTCTCTATTTTTCCACTCAATTGCATATTTCTTCCCGGTTACCTATTCCTATATGTGATCAACTACCCTAAAGTTTAGTGGCTTACAACAGCAGTCTTGTTATTGTTAGTGTTGGTGGTAGTGGTGGTGGTGGTGTCATCATCATCATTTTTCAGTTTCTCACAGTTTAATAGGTTGGGGATTCTGGAGTCATCTGGGAGTTTCTTTTCTTTCACATTGCATTTACTGAGAACACTTGGTGGTACCCAGCTAGCAGATGGACTAGACTGAATGGCTAGACAAGATGGTTTCACTCACAGTCTGGTGTCTTAGTGCGGGTGGCTGGAAGGCTGGGGCATGGCTGGGATCTCACCTGGAGCACTTACAAGAGGCCTCTCAAGCATGCCAATCATGGGGCAGTCTGACTTCTTGCATGGTAGCTTAGGTATCCTAACAAGAAAAGAAGTGAAAGCAGCCAATCTTTAAATCCTGAGCCCCAAACTGTCACAATATCATCTCCTCTATATTCAGTTAATCTAAGAAGTCATAAGGTTAGGGTTAGGATCAGGGGACCCAAATTCCAGGGGAGAGGGGCATAGATCCCATCTCTAGATGAGAGGAATGTCAAATAACTTGTGAACTTCTTTAACCTGCCACACATTATTACAATGGTCAAGAACTCCTCCTCTGAGACTGGATTCCAAAACTTACTCCCCACCACTCACTGGTCATATATCTAGGCTGACTATTTAACCTTTCTCTGCCTTAGTTTCCTTGTCTGTAAAATGAAGATAATAAATGTATTCATTCAACAAATATATGTTGAACATTTAGTAGGGAGCAGATGGCTGGGACCAGAAACAGAAGTAAGCTGGTCTGGGCTTTCAAGTTGCATACAGTCTAGAATAATGGCAGGAAAAGATGTGCATTCATTTATTCTTTCAGTAAATATTTAATAAGTACTTACAAAGCATGAATAGAAGCATTTGTGCTAATCCCTGCTGTGGAACAGAAGAGAGTCAAAGTTATAATGGTAAGGTCTTTCTCAAACTGGATTTTTATTAAATAGGATCTTAAAATCATGTATGTCCAAATTTTAGTTGGTGAATGAAGAGATTTGACAGCATTCTTCTTTCAACTGGCATTTAGACAAGAACACCAGTTTCTTTTCTGTGTCCTCTCATCTTTGTCATGGTGAAGAACTATAAAACCACAATCCACACAACCATTTAACAGAGATAGTAGAAGACTCCATTGCTGTTTTCTTTTTCTTTTCTTTTCTTTTCTTTTTTTTTTTTTTTTTTTTTGAGATGGAGTTTCGCTCTTGTCACCCAGGCTGGAGTGCAGTGGTGCAATCTTGGCTCACTGCAACCTCTACCTCCCAGGTTCAACCAATTCTCCTGCCTCAGCCTCCCGAGTAGCTGGGATTACAGGTGCACGCCACCACGCCCAGCTAATTTTTTTGGATTTTTAGTAAAGACAGGGTTTCACCATGTTGGCCAGACTGGTCTCGAACTCCTGACCTCAGGTGATCCGCCCGTCTTGGCCTCCCAAAGTGCTGGGATTACAAGTGTGAGCCACCACGCCCAGACCATTCCTGTTTTCTTTATGAAAATTTAAAGTAATTTTTTCATTCAAGTTGAATCATGTTTACACTGAATCTGGATGTCAGATGGGGTGCAGGAACCATAGCGAGGCCACTGATGGAGGAGCTTAGCAGGAATGACGTGCGTGCACTAAGTGAAATTTCCCATCTATACCAAAAGTCACTTTCTTGTTATAGAGTCAGCTTAGTGTTTCATGACACAGCCGACCTAGAAGATTTCAGTATTAGTTTAGTTTGGGCATTTCGACTGCTAATAATCTTTATTCTAAATCTTTTTAAGTGATCTTTACAAGAATAATCAAATAATAATAAGTTTTTGAGTTGCTGCTTTGTTGATTGAGAAGATAGTTTAAAAAAATACATTTTCAACCTGCTGAAATAATTTGGTGAAATTCAGCTGGGCACGGTGGCTCACGCATTGTAATCCCAGCACTTTGTTAGACTGAGGTGGGTGGATCACCTGAGGTCAGGAGTTCAAGACAACCAACCAGTTCAAGCCTGGCCAACATGGTGAAACCCCATCTCTACTAAAAATACAAAAAATTAGCCAGGCATGGTGGCAGGTGCCTGTAATCCCAGCTACTTGGGAGGCTGAGGCAGGAGAATCATTGGAACCCAGGAGGCAGAGGTTGCAGTGAACCAAGATCATGCCATTGCACTCCAGCCTGGGTGACAAGAATGAGACTCTGTCTCAAAAATAAAATATATAACAATAATAATAATAATAATAATAATAATAATAATAATAATAATAATGTGGTGAAATTCTTCAATAGACTTGGCTAACTGAAACTGGTATATGAAGTTACCAATATTTATGTCTGTAACCATCTGCAGTTTATACACTTGACAAGATATATAAAGATTTGGTCACATTGTATTTCACCATAGGCCCCTCCTAAGATTTATTTCTTAATTGGAACCTTGCCTGTGGTTATATATGCGTTTTTTTTAATCACATAGTAGATATCCAACAAATAAGTATTAAACAAACAAATACATTCTTATTTGTAGGCCAGGCAGAACAAATCGGCATAGTAAAATGGTTACAAATATGGCTTTGAAGTCTAACAGGATTGAGTTTAAATCCGAACTCTGCCAACTATTAAAATAATACAAGTTTCTTAATCTCTCTAAGCTCAGACTCCATGTATAAAATGTCAAAAATAGGAGTAGAAACCTCAGAGAGTAGGTGAAAGAATTGGATGATCATTGAACGCATCTGATCATTTAAAGATAAATGATCATTCAGCACAGTGCTTTGACACTGTATGTTCCCAATAAATGACAGGTGTAATTTTGTTGTCATCACCATTGTTGTTATTTAGAAATGGCCTTTAGGGATGCACAAAATATTGCAGCAAAATGTCTCAGTATTCTTGTTCTTTGGCATACTCCCAACCCCCACTGGTTTTGTGACATCAGATCTGAACCACAGCAAAGGAAGAGGTAAAAGAACGAAGTATCTCTCAAGACAGACTCAAAGATCCTTGACAGTAGGGCTCTGTCCTATGACTCTTTAGCCCAGTTTTTTTGCACATGGAGGTACTCACTAAATGTTTTTGATAACAAGAATATTGAGGTTCTTAATTATGTAAAAAAAATTCAACATATTTGAAAGCTGCTAAATGCCAAACTAATAACTTTTTGCAAAAGGAAACTAATACTTTATTGAAAATTCTTATAAAACAAGTTGTATTTCACAAGATTGCACAGAAACAAACTATCAAGCTCCATTATTAACATAATGATGTTTCTTATTTCCTTTACAATTTCCTATCTGATGACTATCCTCCCCAGTCTTTTCAAAGTAGCCTTTGTCTTATGAATGGCCCTTGACCTACTGGCTAAGCCCTGCCTCCTGGAGCCCTGTGACCTTAGCTGCTTGAGTTATGCTTCCGACTCTGGAGAAACATATGTCAGAGTGAGGCAAATACTGGTCCACATGATAAGGCCTTTGTTAAGTTAGGCATAAAGTAGTTGAAAATGGCTTAGAAAGGCCAGGCACAGTGGCCCACACCTGTAACCCCAGAACCTTAGGAGGCCAAGGTGGGAGGATCACTGAGGCCAGGCGTTTAGACAAGTCTGGGCAACAGAGTGAGATCCTAACTCTATGAAAACTTTAAAAATTAGCTGGATGTGGTGGCACACACCTGTAGTCCCAGCTACTCGCAGGAGTGCTTGAGCCCAGGAGTTGAAGGCTGCAGTGAGGTATGATTGCCCTGCACTCCAGCCTGGGCAACGCTGGTGTATAAAATACTTCTTCATGAGAATTATCTGGTAGGAAGGGATAAGGACATCGGTGGGGGACTGTGTTTTCCTTTCATACAACTCACATCTCACAAACAAAAGGGGAGAAAATCTCCACCACCCACACAACCCAAGTTCTTCATTTTGCCCTTTAACACGTTCTAGTGACTCTTCATGGTAAAATACAATTCAGGCTGGAAACCAAGCCCTGTTTCCTCATCTGGCAATTCTTTTGGTGGCTATTACATATATGTCTTGAAGTGAAGGAGAAACACTTCCTCTTTACAAAGCAAAACACACACCCGCTCCTCACCCACACACTTTTCTTCTTCAGGTGTTTTTTTCATTTCTGAAAAAGCACATTCACCTTCTTGAGACTCTCTGGAAGAGCAAAGTTGTTATGCTGGAAGAGTGAACCCACAGATGCCCCAGCCACGGCTCCAAGGTATCCCACTCACAGCCTTCAAGCCAACTCCCAGTGCTAGACAGTACAAGAAGCCAAGCCAAGAACTTCTAGGGGTAGCAGCCACATCTCAAGAGCTCCAGAATCTGTTGGGCAATGCAAAGCCCTCTCTATTACATGTAAAATTCCAGAAAGCCCATTTGATGAAAATAAGATTACATTTCACTGTTAAGGCCATTTCATTGCCTTATGTGTTTAAAACGTATTTGGAAATACAATGTGTGGTTTGAGAATGCAGGCTGCGGTATGTTCCCATCCCTCGTTCTTCCTTTACTTGATGGACAGCCCTTCAACAGATTTTTTGACTCCCAGGGCTGATGAGAGAGAGGTGAGGGAGTGAGCAGCAAGGGGGCGGGGAAGAGCTGGCACTTCAGGAGGCAACTTCCAGTTGCTTTATTTCTTCAGAATTTAAGAAACCACTCTAATGAGCCCAGTCCTCCCCAATAAAACCAGTCGCCTCTTATATCCTGGCTGCTCCATATTAAACTGGCACAGAAGCACTTAACCTGCTAGATCGCCTTTCTCCAGACACCTGCCCAAGCAGCAGACTAAACAAACAGGGATTCTCCACTGCGCAAAAGTTGGCTTCTTTCACTAGGTCTCCCATCTGTTAAAAAGCCATTGTCTGAGAAAGTGTTCAGCTAGCTGGAGAGCGAGAGTGATTGCATACTGAACTGCCCCCTTTTCCCCATAAAAAGTCCTCTTTAGCATTTTCTTTTCTCCCCGGTTTTCATTGCCTGATTTATTCATTGGTTTCACCTCTTCTCCCCTCCCCCTTGGTTCGGGAGGAGAGCCTCCTTGTCTTCGGTTTCTGAGGGGTCATGTCTTTTCAGTCACTAGGACAATACCCGCTGCTGGCATCTGCTTCCAGATCCAATCAGCCATATTGTGAACACATCCTGCCAGAGAATTGTTCCTCCTTTTGCTCGGCTTTGTTGCCAATTTCATGCCATGTATTGCTCCATGTTTTGTGCTTCATGAAGCTGTCACAGGCATAAAAGTGGTCTGACCAGGGTCGTAGTAAAAGGGGTGGGAATGAAACATCCACCAAAATGTTGAGCAGGCCACCCACAGTCCACACACACACACACACACACACACACACACCACATGCTCACACACCCACACCCATATGCAGCCCACACACACACTCATACACAATCCACACTTACCCAGTCCTCACACTCACACCGAGCACACATACACACACAGTACACACACTCCCAGAACCCACACACAAACACACACACTCCACACATGCACAAAGTATACACAATCCACATACACTCACAATTCACACACACAATACACAGTCCCTCCCAGGACACACACGCAATTTGCACATATTTATAACATAAACACAAACTCACACACATTTGGGGCTCTCACCCATTTTCTTTTCTTTCCCCCAAGATTTCATTGGTACCCTTGTGAGATACTTTGTGTTCCCCAAGGGGGATAAACAGTTTTACAAGGAGTCAAAGAGTTTGGCTCCCTTCATAATGATAAGGAATATACTAAGTTGAGGGAAGGGGTGTCTTGAAAGTTAAAGAAAGAGTTCAGGGTTTTTTGTTTTTCTTTTTCCTCTGAGGTGTTTCTTATTACATGTAAAATAGCAATAATCCCTTAGTGCACAATCTTAAAAACATACCACAAAATACTTTAAAAAGTAAATTAAATTACTCCAGATTTAAAGAACATGATAAAACCCATATTCATCGATCCTCCTTTTGGGGACATTAACCTCTCATAAAGAACAACAATATACAATTATAGGAAAACATGTCAACAAAAACGTGAAAATTATCCTCTTGGATTTGGAAGAAGGTGCCTATAAGTCTCCTCCTCTCCAAGTTATGATTCCTGGGTACAGGAGTATCACAATTTATCAAGAGGCTCTTTGTAAACTCTGGATTCGCCTGCCAGAGCACAAAAGACTAAACTCCATTGCAAAGCATTTCTGAAACACAGGCTTCAGGAAGAAGGGGAACTGGGGTTACTGGTCCCATCACCCAGAGCCCACTGATTGAACTGGGTCTAACTGCTGGCTGCCAGCCAGCCTGAAGGGAAGTTGCATTTCTCCTTCATGTCATAAGTCAAGGGGAAAAAGGGAGGGAAAATGGATATCAAAAACTCAGAATCCTCACGGTGGAAATTTCATGGATGTTTTCTCATTTTATTTCTATGGCGAGTATTTGCTTATTTATTCCAAAAAGTTCTAGAGATTCTGAATGTAGCTTCTGTATAGTGTATTATATCTCTACTTATATTTTTCCATGTTTCTATCCCAGCACCATGAGCAGGTCCTCTTGCCTTTTTTTAGAAGAGCAATTTTGGGTTGTCGTTAAATGTCAAGGAGAAGGGTCATGTGAGCACACAGACAGGGTAATGGCAACCTCCTCATGCAAGGAGGAGAAGTCTTGGAATGAAATCTAACTTGGTGACACATTTATCTTGAACTTCCAGCCTCCAGAACTGTGAGAAATAAATTTCTGTTGTTTAAGCCACCCTATCTGTAGTATTTTGTTATGGCAGCCCAAGCTGACTAATACACACCCCAAGATGTGGTAAATGACTAAAAGATTTGAGAGAGAAAGAGTAAAACAAGCACTGTGTGCCACTGTCAAAAATGGGGTGCTACACTTTGTGGGCAAAGTGCCTGCCGAGGCAGGCAGATCATATAAGGCCAGGAGTTTGAGACCAGCCTGGTCAATATAGTGAAACCCCGTCTCTACTAAAAATACAAAAATTAGCTGGGCGTGGTGGTACACGTCTGTAATCCCAGCTACTCAGGAGGCCGAGGCATGAGAATCGCTTGAACACGGGAGGTGGAAGTTGCAGTGAGCCGAGATCACACCACTACACTCCAGCCTGGCAACAGAGGGGGACTCTTTTCCAAAAAAAAAAAAAAAATGGGGCATTTCTTCACAAACAGCCAGGGATAGGACTGATTGATGTTGAGACTTATCTCCAACCCAACCCACCATGCTCTTTACCAACTTCTTGTCCCTTTTAATCCCTTAACTTCTGAAAAGTAATTCATCAGGGTTTTCAGGAAAATAGAGCATGTCACTGCCAAAAAGTAATGTACGAAACCAAGACATAGGAAGCCTCACTCAAGGGAACTACTGGAAGTGTGCATTCACCCAGCTACCCTGGCAGGCTTGATTTTCTCTCAGTCGACCTTGATGTCCACTATACATTGGTTGAGCATCTACTTTATGTTGGCTACTATGTTGACCCTGATACAATGATGAGTAAGTCACAGCCTCAGCACTCAAAGAGCTTTGAATCTGGTAAGGGAGACAGGCACTTACATCAAAACTCACAATGCAATATGACATAAAAATTGTTCTACAAAAATAGAGAGTGAGTAGGAAAAGCATTTTCCTTCTGCAAAAGCCAAAGGGATCAAGGGAGCTGGCATGTTGAGTGAAGAGGGCGGATGTGCAATGGAGTCAAAATATAAGATACACAGTACTTAAAAGAAATGGGAGGATTAGAGAGAAGATGTCAAGGTATAAAACAGATGAGGGACCACACTAAGAAATCACTTTCCATGGCACACAGGACTGAAGACTGAAGGGAGGAGACATAATAATGCTTTGGTTATATCAGTTCAGAGGGAAAAGAAGATGACCTCTAATACCCAATTTCCTAAACTAACCCCCAAACACACCAGTTCTTTGCTTTTCTCATGACTTCATTATTTCTAACTTTTTCAAGAGCCTTTTTGAAATTCTAAATGCATCCAATGTAACTACAGTCCAAAATGTGCCCTCTTTTTAGTTGTTTCATGAATTTTTCTTTCTTTCCTAGCCCTATAGTTTTTATTTATGTTTAATAAGGACACTAAGCCAGCAAGACTCGAAAGGGGGCCAGAGCCAGCTTTGTGCTCTGTGTGAGCGTGTATGTGTGTGTTAAACAATTTCATGGACATCTGTCATGCACAGTTAACTTTGCATTGCTGCATTTTAAGTGGTGGGCCCAGGCTTGGCTGGCAGTGATAAAGTAGCTGGCAGTTTTCAAAAAGCCACAGGATAACTGAGCATGAATCATAAAACACACTACTGTGTAGCAATATCCAAGTTCATTCAATGCAATGAAACCATGCAGAGGCCCTTTATCCCCAGCTAATTATGTGGAAACGTCTAAGACAATAAAGCATCTGGTGGTCTTTCTTCCCCATTTCAATTTTTCTCAATATTGTGACAGGGGAAAGTATTGTGCCTTTCCCAGGGTAGTTGCAGTGAAGAGGAGTAAAAGCAAGGGTCAGGGAAGAGCAAATAGATGAATTTATAACTTTCTTTTTATTTATTCCTTCCCCATTGTTTCTCTGGAAGTCTTCCTGCAGGGCTGTATTTTGGGATCACTATTCTCATTGCACCCTGCTTGAATCCCCTTTTCTCCCCCTTTAAAAAAATACCACCCAAACTGCCAGACCTTCTATGATTCCCTGTTGCTGATGAGGCTTTCTCCCCCATGGGCATCCAGGAATATAAGTCTAAGATTTATAATTATTCTCCAGACTCAGGTGAAAGGAAGGGTTCACGCTTCCAGAATGAAAGCTAATATGTGATTTCCTTTCTAGAAAAAGGTGATGAGAATGGTCACTATGATTAAAGTTTTCCCAGAGAGGATTCCCCATAATTGCCTTGCACATGGTTCTTTCTGCCATTCTCTTGAAAACACACACAAATGCCATGCGCTGTACTCCTGGGGGTTTTGATGAAAGCCCCTTTATAGCTATGCACTGCACAATGAGACCCAAGCCAGAGTCTGATGAGGTGACTAATTGGTACCACTAGCTTAAAAAGCTAATAAGTTAATTAGATTAACTTTGTTCATGTTTGCACAGGGCTTTGAAGAGGAAAACACCACAGGAGCCCTAAGCTTCACTGAATCAAGGTCCGATACAGCTCTGTGCTGGATAAAAGCTTTCCTTTGGAACAGCATGAGCTTCTTGTGGTTATATTCTATTTTGTTTTGTTCTAGTATTTAATTCCTCAGCCATCTCCCCATTATTCTCAAAACCCAAATTAGAGTGACATAATATGCCTTTAGTATCTTCCAGTGCAACACTTTCAGTCACAAATCTAAATTCCATTTAAAACCATTATGGAATGTTTTAATTTCCCCGCTGTCTCTGGGCATTATTGTGTCATAACATCCAAGTCATTTTTATGCTAACTTAAGAATCCAGCCAGATTTTTTTTTCTATCCACAATTAGAAATAATCGCAGGAAAATTACCTGAGTGCTATGAGCATTCTCTTTGGTTTGTTTAATTTTCCCACACCTTAAAAATGCAGCGAAGCCCA
Organism: Homo sapiens; assembly: GCF_000001405.40. Classification (NCBI taxonomy): domain Eukaryota; kingdom Metazoa; phylum Chordata; class Mammalia; order Primates; family Hominidae; genus Homo; species Homo sapiens. Next base: position 84,367,643 of record NC_000004.12, read on the forward strand.
GAGTCACAGTATTATAATTATTGTGGAATTTTAGCATTAAGCACATTTTTAACGCATTGTTGGCACCCCCTTTGTCAATCAATCAATTGACTGATCTACCTACCTATCCATCCATCTATCCATCAATCTATTTCATGTATTAGGCAAACATTGAGCAATACACTAAAGTAATGCCCAGAAGATACAAAGATGATGGAGACAGGAGTACGGCCCTCAAGGAACCTTTAATCTAGAACACATAATATCTCCTCTGGGTTAAGTACCTAAGAGCAGAGACAGGAAAGAGACAACTGAGCTAGAGGACCCAGGGGAAGTTTCAACAACACGGTGGATTTTGAGCCAAATCTTAAGGAGTTTTGACTAGTGGAGATGCAGGAAAATATATTCCCTGGGTGAAAGAGCATAAACAAAGGTTCTGACAAAGGAGAGAGCACATGGCACATCCAATCAGCAAAAAATTACCCAGTATGGCTGGGGTACACTCACAGTGGGAAGTGAGGGATGGGGTGGAAAAAGCAGGATGGGATCAGATCACAAATTATCTTTCTCAGGTTTTTGGTTTTTGTTTTTGTTTGTTTGAGGAGGGAAGTAACATGAAAGGAAACAGTCAAGGAGAGACAATGGAAAGATCAATAAAGGCATTTTTAAATTGTCCTATAAAAAGCAATAAAGATCCAAACCAACGTGGCGGCAAAGGCTAATGAAAGAGAAAGGGAAGAAAAAATATACATCAAATAGTCATGAGCTTTTTAAGTGAAAAAGTAAAAATAAAGTGTAGATTACAATCAAAATGGATAGCAAAATTGGATAAAATTACATTTTTTTATTTACAAAATTTTTTTACCTCTGTTGGTAGTTAAAAAGTGTTTGCTTAGGACTTTCATGACTTACTTATTTTTCTCAATAATGGATATATATCGTTAGTAAATAAAAGATTTTAAATTTTGTCAACTAGTGTTAAGACAATAGCATCCCTAAGGTCTAAACTTAAAAAGTAATTCAGATAGAGTGGTTGCTTTGCTGAAACAAAAAAAGTATTAAGACTCAGGGTGGTACAGTGGAAGAGTATGCATAGGAGTTGAAGGTAAGACAACTTGAGTTTTTATTTCAGCTTCACAATATAACTAAGCATAATTTTAGGCAAGTTACTTAACTTCTCCAACCCTCGATTTTCTCATATATAAAATGAGGCAATAGTAGTACTTACCTTACAGGGTTCTCGTTAGGACTAAATGAAATGACTTGTATAAAGTGCCTAAGAAGTGATAGAAACCTGATTACTAAATGTAATGTGGTATTCTGGATTGGCTGGTAGCCTGGAACAGAAAAAAGACACAAATGAAAAATATAAAAAATATAAATAAACTATAGGTGTTAGTTAAAAATAATGTATCAATATTGACACATTAATTGTGGCAAATATATCCTAATGAAAGATAACAATAGGGAAAACTATGTGGAGTGGATGAGAACTCTCTGAACTATCTTTTCAATTTTTTTGTAAATCTAAAATTGTTTTTGAAAATAAAGCTTATTTTAAAATATGTTACTGAAAAAATTCAACTGGGCTCATTCCCATTAAACAATGGTATAAATTTAAAAGAAGCTAATGAGAGTAGGGATTTTTTTTTGATAGGGGTAGGGGGCTGTTTTATCTATTAATGTAACCCTAGAGCTTATCATAGCATACAGATGGCACTCCATAAATACTTGCTGAATGGATTAAAACAAAAATAATCAAAAACTTTTTAAGGAACATAAAGGGACTCAAGGTTTCTGCTATTCTCCGCTTTTCTATTTTCTCCACTTGTTTGTTCTACTAGTTTTTTTGTTTGTTTGTTTTTGTTTTTTGTTTTTGGCATGCTTTCCATCGAGGAAACAAATTTCCTTGAGTAAGATGATATTGGGCATTTTGAAACCTTTCTAGGTGCTTCAGCCAATTTATTCATTAATGACTCCATGTGCAGAACATTGTGTGTGTTGGTACATCTCTTTTCCACCCAATGCTCTTAAAGACATTAGGATAGAATTCATACTAGAAGTACTTCAGGTCCGTGCTAACTAAGCCTTTCCAAGGAACAAGTCACCTAGACTCAAGCTAACTCTACATAATGTCAAATAGCTGATGGTTCAGTAGGACTTCCAGATATTCACAAATCACTAGAGGTGTCTGATTACAATGTTTAAATATTTCTATTTTTGGTAGCGTCCTTAGTGATTGATAATTTTCTGTTTAAAAGATCAGTTGCTTTGCTAGTATGTTTAGAGATGAATAAAACTTTATATTCTTATTTGTAACCCAGTGTTTTAAAACTTAAGGTTAAAGGGTATACTTTCAAGGTTCAATTCTTCCAGCTGAATAAACTCGTCCTTTTCACTGAGACTCTGAGGAAGTTTAAATCTAAGCAACTGAAAAAGAATAGAAGGCAAACTGTTGAAATGAAGAAAATCTAGAAGACAAGACTCTGAGATATTTTCTTTTTTAAAACATAATTTTGACTTTTAGATTCGGGGGGGTACAAGTGCAGGTTTATTACATGAGTATATTGTGTGATGCTGAGGTTTGGGGTATATAGATGATCCTGTCACCCAAGTAATAAGCATAATACCCAACAGGTAGTTTTTCGACCGTTACTGGTCTCCCACCCTCCACCCTCTACTAGAACCCAGTGTCTATTGTTTTTAACTTTATATCCATGAGTACCCAATGTTTATCTCCCACTTAAAAGTGAGAATATGCAGTATTTGATTTTCTGAGTTAGTTCACTTAGGATAATGGCTTCCAGCTGCATCCATGTTGCTGCAAAGGGCATGATTTCATTCTTTTTTATGGCTGCATAGTATGCCATGGTGTACAGGTGCCACATTTTCTTTATCCAGTCCACCACTGAGGGGCACCTAAGTTTTTTCTGTGTTTTTGCTGTTGTGAATAGCACTGAAATGAACACACACGTGCATATACAATGTGAGATGTCTGAATTATTGGGCTAAAGTGGCGTTAAAAATCATTTCCCATGTCATGAAGGAGGAAATATTAAAAAGAGTGGTCATTAGCTGTCTAACTTTGGTGATTTCTATAAGTCAAAAGGAGATCAGAGCATCCTAAAATGTTAGATGGGACTTAATCATTTAGTTCTTGGCAGATAAGGAACTAGTCCAGATACAAAAAATAACATGCCCAAATAGTTTGCTAGCAACAATATAAGCAGGTACCCCAGTAAGAACTACTATGAATCTACTGGATGCACTTCTCATGTTGTCACAAGCTACAATCTACTAAACTAAGTATTACTTATTAAGCATAGTCTATAATGGCAAGGAATACATTCTTTTTTCAGATCTGCTTTTCTATCTTTTGCTAAATTAATCTTTTTTTAAGGTTAACCTCAACATTGTGCATTATTGAAACTAGGAATACACATGAATATGTGTATGTATATAAACACAAATATGTCTACATTGGTATAGGAAATGTCTGCACTTCCTGCTTCCACTTTTCTACTTTTCTCATTTTTTTCAATAATCCTCTGAGTTTTGCTTCCACCTCTACCATTCTGCATTCTCTGAGGTCATTACTAGTGTCCTAGGTAACAAATCTCTAGGCTTTTCTCCATCTACATTCCTTCCAGCTCTTCTCATTCATCACTGTTGATCGTTTCTTCCTTTTTGAAATGCCTAGTTCCTGGTCATGATACTAAACCCTCTAGGATTTTTTCTGCTTTATCTCTAGTCTTTCTCACTCTCCACAACTGCTTTTCTTCCTCCATTCTTTAAATGTTAGTGTTCCATCCTTAGTCCATCCCAGATTCATCTTCCACAACAGCATCTTCACCTCTTAACAGCAGCGCCTTCAAACATACAATCAGCATGTAGTGCCTTTCTTTCTTCCTTCACTAAAACTCTACTTTTCTCCTCAAGACTCAGCTAAAACACTATGAAAGTGTCTCTTTTATTGATATTACAAACCCTGCTTTGTACTCCGAGAGCATGAATTCTTGTTATGTGCTAATGAAACACAGAGAAGGCTGTCTACAGTAGTGGATGAGTGAGAGATCAGGAGTCAGACTGCCGGCTTTTAAATCTTGCTCTTCCGTGATTGTGTCTCAGCTTCCTCATCTGTGAAATAGGGATAACAGCAGTATTGATCTCCTATATTTAGTGGGGATTAAATGAATTAATATATGTAAGAAATATAGAACAGTGCCTGAGACATACTTAATTCTCAATAAATGTTAACAAGAGTTATCGTAGCATGTTACCATAATAAGTTAAAATTATTTATGTGTCTAACTTTGTTACTAACATATGATAACTTTGAGGACAGAAGCAAGTCCCAGTCAACATTCTATATCCAACTGTTACCACAGAGCAAATAATAGGTGCGTAAACTGTTTGTTGATTGAGTATAGTACTTAGGTGAGAATAAATGGAGAATGAAATAAAAGTGATATTGATCTGGGAGTATACTACAGTTCCCCTATCCAGGCAGAAAGTATATAATGCTTCTACAATAAGGATTGCAAAGCTACCAAAAAGGAAAAATGAAAACGTTGTAAGAGACTTCAACTACCTGAAGAGCTGCCAGAGAATACAAATGCTGAGAGCAGGGCATCAGAGAGGAACTGCCTTACCTGAAACACAGAGGAGAAAGAAAGAAATGAGAACTACAAATGTAATTTAGACCAACAAGAAAGAACCATTTGGAAATATAAAATAGCTGGAATTTGAGATGAATTAAAATTGGCAAAGATATATTTTGCAGCTATCACAAACTCCCAAATATTGTATTTTCCGCTCTTTTGTCACCTATATCTTTCTACTTTTCTTTGTAATTAAATTACCTTCTAATTTTTTTACTTTTACTTTCTACTTTTCTTTTTAATTAATTATAATTTGTAACTAATAAATGAAACTTCTTTTGGATTGTTACTATTCAAAGGGAAATATCATATCTTCCACATCTTCGCTTCTCTCACAGCCTGTAAGCCAGTACCTTTCACCCAGGAATCAGTAAATTTTTACTGACTGACTAAATCAGAGGAAACGATGGGGAAATATACATGGAAAAGAAGGGGGCATATGAGTGTCAATTTGCTGGTGAAATCTGAAGAATCTGATGATTTTTTAGATATGCTATGGTAAGGAGGAGAAAATAATTTTAAAAGACCAAGAATTCTGGTCTTGGTGATTAAGAGAATCGGGCACTTTTTATAGGAATCAGATGTCATTTCAAGGCATTGGTTTCAGAAGCAAGGAGATAAATGTGGCTCACCCTTGCCGATTGTGGGTGTTTGGTGAAATATACAACAGGAAAAATCCAGGCCGTGGCTGACTGGATGATTCTAAAGCCCAGAGAAAGACTGCAACTAGATCTTCTAGAAAAAGCAACTAGAGATGAAGGAAGAGTTGGTATTGTGAGTATTACAGAGGGAGTCAGGGAGAGAAAGAAGTATCTTGAAGTACAAGGTCAACCATGTCAAAGGCACCAGCCTCAGAGGAAGCTGAGAAAAGATGAAAAAAAGCCATTCACTCTTGTAGAGAGAAAGTTCAGGAGCTTCATAGAAGCATTGTAGCCACTAAGAAAGGCTAAGGCACTCAGAAGCCTTAAGAAGATAAAGACAGTGGGTTTGGACCACTTTAAAAAATAGGAACCAAAGAGAAAGGACCTAACACCTGTTCGTGGTATGAATGGATGAAAAAGGGAAGCGATCAAATGAATGGCTCCACTCAGGTGTGGATTAGAGCCACAAGACAGAAAAGACTCAGATGAACTACCAAATATTTGACCTAGGAGGGACTTTCTAGACAGCATCAAGTTCAACTCTCCAACATTAGGTAGGAGGAAACCCTGAATAGTTAAGTAGCTAGTTCAAAGTCATCCAGCAAGTTAGTGTCAGGATCAAGATTCAAATGAAGGTCTCCAATCTCCTAGTTGGGTGATCTTTCCACTATATTGCCTTTGCAACATGAACAGGATGGCTTGAAAATAAGAAACAGAAATAAAAGAAACACCTTGTAATTTCTCTTGTTCCTTCCAGTTACTTCTTTTTAGCCAATCTATAATCCCTCGTGCAGATACAATGCTCTTCCTTTCCCAACTGGTCTGTAATGAACTATTACTTTTCATGGGAAAAGTGAATTTCCAATGTTTCCCAGGTTCTTGAATGTAGATCTGACATTTTTCCCTAGCAAATTGACATAAACCTTTTCATGAATACACAAGGCCCCAAGGGGCCAAATTTACACGTAAAGAGAAAAGTTAGCAGTAACAGCATTGGTGGAGAAACAGATTTTCCTTTTAATTGCTCACAGGCAGAATGTGCACAGCTAAAATGGCCTAAAAGGAAAAATGAAGTGATCATCTGACAAACCCAGGCAGTGTAAATACCCAATCCAGCAATTCAGGCCTTGGGGCAAGAAAACCATTTTCCCTGTGCCTGCCAAGCTCTCTTCTCATGTTTGAAAATTGTTCCTGGACCTAGCCTGAGGGATTCAAGTATCTCAGACAGTGGCATCACCAAGTTGGCATGGAATTAAGTGAGGCATCTGTCCAATAGCATGTTGGGCTCCATTCTCCCCCCGCCTTAGTCGCCCATGGTACTAAAAGGGTATTTAGGAAGAAATGCTCCCTCTGTGCAGGCACTATGGTATGATTCAGTACACCACATTAGTACTGCAGTGTCTGGAGTCTAGTTAAGGTAGATTCAGTGGCAAAGGGTCTAGATGTTATGGTGATAGGTGATTTAGCAAGGCATGGTTAGCTACAATGCTATATTTATTACTTCATGTGTTGGCTTTGGTTACTGACTAGCTCCAACCAGCTCTGTGGCAGAAGACATTTCTTATCAGTAAGTCGTTTTACACTTTCCTTGGTTTGCCTCTTCTAAGAATCTGAGTTCATACTTTTAAATTAAAATGAAAGAATGATTTTCAGTTTTTCCTCCATATTAAAAAAGGACCTGGAGTATCAGGCATTGTGGTCTCTTTTCTCCCTGTCTAAGCCACTGGGTAGATAACTGACAACTTAACTTCTTCAGGCCAGGAGGAAACTTGAAAATTCAGAATCACCCATTTAAAATACTTACCTTCTTGAGTTTCTTTGGCCTTCCTCCACCCAGCTACACCTGCTTCAGCTGGGAGCATGGAAATTCTGTCAGAGATACACTCATTCGATCTACTCCTGCAGAAATGAGGTCTAATGGGGCTGATAATACCTACCCAACAGCAAGAGCAGATTATACCCAAGTATTCATTCTTGTCCTCCTTTTTACCCTGCCCATCTAACGCTGCAAAAAAAAAGAATAATAACAATATTAGAGACAATCTGGGAACTTCTGCCTCTTTGCAAGGCTGACTCAAACCATGTTGGAATAATAATGTATTCAGCAGCCACCTAGTCAGCAATGCAAAATGGTCCCTGGGTTCAAGGCTATGATACATTAGAATATAATTTGGCTGGAGTTTCTCTCTCTATTATGGAGAACAAATGCATTTTTGAATGACTTGAAGAACAGGTCATGCTATTACTTATGATGGGTAAACTCAAAAAGGGTCATAGGAGAAACATAGTTCAGATAAGCCCCTGGAAACTATAGATGCTCTTTCAAATCTAATCTCATTTTTTAGGTCTGTCTCTTCACTTTCAGGGCAGGAAACTTGGCTGCCGCTAGGGATCTATTTTCAACTTGTTGTGAGATTTCAGACAACTGCTGAATCTCTTGTGCCCCTAGTTACTCCATCTATGGCATATGGCAAATGCTACCTACCTCAGGCTATAGGGTACAGTGAAAATTGTTGTGATGGTGGTTGTTTATTTCTCAAAAGACCAGGATCTGGCCAATTTCCAGGAGCTTTGAGCTAGATGGGCAACAATGGGTTTTCTTCCTAAGCACCAGTGTTAGAAAGATTCCTGTGTGCTTAAACTGTTGTCATCTTTTCAGTTCCTCTCCTGTCTGTTTTATATACAGGCTCTTGTCAACAAGAGAACCAATTTAGGTTCTTCACTGAGGATCTCAAGTTCCCACTTCTCACAACCAATTAAGCAGTATATTTAGAGAGAGGGCAAATATGACTTAGATATTCTTAACCAAATCCTACAAAGGAAATTGCTTAGCACACATTCTATTTGCCGTCTACCCTTTCCTAATTAAACTGGGTAAGAGGATTGGAAAAATTGTATAATTACATGAAAAATCAATGTCACCTATTTTGACAGGCTTTGAGTACATTGTGAAAAATCATGACTGAAAGTCAACTTTTTGTGTGTGTTCACATGTTTTTGTAC